>NC_000012.12:117157097-117308612 GCF_000001405.40 Homo sapiens | reverse complement strand
AAAAAAAAAAAAATTATATAATCTGACCACATTGCGCCTATACGCTGTTTTTTTTTTGTTTGTTTGTTGTTTTTTAGAGACAGGTCTTGCTCTGTCTTCCAGTCCAAGGTACAGTGGCACCATCCAGGCCAAGGTACAGTGGCACCATCATAGCTTACTCACTGCAACCTCAATCTCCTAGACTTAAGAGATCCTCCCACTGCAGCATCCCGAGTAACTAGGACTACAGGCTGGTGCCACTAGACCTGGCTAACTTTTTATATTTTTTTGTAGAAACGGGATCTTGCTATGTTGCCCAGGCTGGTCTCGAACTCCTAGTTCAAGCAATCCTCCCTTCTCAGCCTCCCAAAGTGCTGGGATTATAGGTGTGAGTCACTGCAGCCAACCATATTCTTATGGGGCAACAATCTGCATAGACTGAATAGCAGCTGCCCCCTCTAGACAGGATGTGGCTTTCTAGTTGGCCACAAACCTCACCACTCCCTATTGTCTCCCTCTTATTAAGGCCAGTGTCCATTGTCATTTATAATAGCATTAGTGCTTTTGATTTCTTATACTAGGAGGAAAGTTAAATCCTTTTGTACCCATGTCTCTATTATTATTATTATTATTATTATTTATTGTGAGACAGAGTCTCTGGTGCTGTCTCTGCTCACTGCAACCTCCGCCTCCTGGGTTCAAGCAATCCTCCCCCCTCAGCCTCCTGAGTAGCTGGAATTACAGGTGTGTGCCACCACACTCGGGTAATTTTTACATTTTTTGGAGATGGGGTTTCACCATCTTGGCCAGGCTGGTCTCGAACTCCTGGCCTCAGGTGATCCACCTGCCTCAGCCTCCCAAAGTGCTCGGATTACAGGTATGAGTCACTGCACCTGGGCCCATGTCATTTTTATAAGTGGCAGGTAGAGATGGACCAAGAGGTTCATGTTTTAAGAAAGATTTTTTTGGCTGGGCACAGTGGCTCACACCTGTAATCCCAGCACTCTAGGAAGCCAAGGCAGGTGGATCGCTTGAGCCTAGGAATTTAAGACCAGCCTGGGCAACATAGCAAAACCCCGTCTCTACAAAAAAGAGAGTATAAACTATTAACTGGGCCTGGTGGCGTGCACCTGTAGTCCCAGCTACTTGGGAGGTTGAGGCGGGAGTATCGCTTGAGCCAGGGAAGTTGAGGCTACAGTGAGCCCTGTTAGTGCCACTGCACTCCAGCCTGGGTGACAGAGCAAGAACCTGTCTCAAAACAAAAACAAAACAAAAAAAAGCACCTAACAACATTCTTCATTTCTACACACACAAAAGTCTTTCTTTTTAAATATGCAACTAAATGTCCTGTTTGGAAGTTACCCAGCCTTCCTTACTGATTTAGCTTACCCCCTACCACCTCCAGGTATCCATTTGTAATTCCCGGTCTGCAGTAATCCTTGAGATCTCGGTTCGAAGGAAGAAGCAGGGGAGGCCTTGACTCCGCAAGAAAGACACTAAAAGTCAATGCAGAAATCTGAGCAATGGCAGACTGGTCATTTCCTTGCACACTGCCCACCTTAGTTAGACAATGCCAACTTGCAAAGCATAACTTTGGTCTTCAAGCCTGAGGAGTGGAGCTCAACATTGAGAACAGGACCTCAGGGTTTTGAAGATCAGATAAGTGTTTGCCTAAAACAAAAAGGAAACAGGCATTATAGTAAAAGGAATGCGGGGCCAGGCGCGGTGGCTCACGCCTGTAATCCCAGCACTTTGGGAGGCCAGGGTGGGAAGATCCCCTGAGGTCAGGAGTTTGAGACCAGCCTGGCCAACATGGCGAAACTCCATCTCTACTAAAAATACAAAAATTAGCCGGGCATGATGGTAGGCACCTGTAATCTCAGCTACTCAGGAGGCTGAGGTGGGAGAATTGCTTGAACCTGGGAGGTGGAGGTTGCAGTGAGCTCAGATCACACCACTGCACTCCAGCCTGGGCGACAGAGCGAGACTCCATCTGAAAAAAAAAAAAAGGAGTGGTTGTGGCGGATAACATTGCTTTTTTTTCTTGCTGAGGATCATTATTAGTTCTCTGAGGTTGTCTTTGGTGCTCACAACACCTGAGACACTTGCTGAGTTTTGACATCATCAAAGGCTGTTATCGTAATCATCATCTTAAGTGAAAAGCTACCCTAGATAAATAACATGAGGACCTACCTGCTGTTGGGCCATTCTCCCTACAAACTCAGCGCTGGAAGAAGGACCGCTAGCCTTTGCAGGATGTGACAATGAAAGGACAGGAAGATATATGGAGAGCTTGCCTTAAGGCCTCTGCTAATATAGAAATTCCGTTTGCTTGGAGAAGGGAAGGACTTTGAGGGTGCTGGAGAAAGGGGGTAAGACTGAATCTTCCAAGGTGAAGTAAGTGTGCCGAGCAGTTTTAGCCTAGAGAGTTCCTGGGAGCATGACTGATAGACCAGCAGAGCTTGGGATTTACGTTCGTCTTTGCCCACCATCAAATCCTTAATGTAGGATTTGACCCAAAAAGATTTAAAACCACGGGCCAGGCCAGGCAAGGTGGTTCTCGACTGTAATCCCAGCACTTTGGGAGGCTGAGGTGGGCAGATCACCTGAGGTCGGGAGTTCGAAACCAGTGTGGCCAACATGGTGAAACTCCGTCTCTACTAAAAATACGAGAATGAGCCCAGGCGTGAGGCACACACCTGTACTCCTAGCTACTCGGGAGGCTGAGGCACAAGAATTGCTTGAGCCTGGGAGTTGGAGGTTTCAGTGAGCCGAGACTGCACCACTGCACTCCAGCCTAGGCAAGAGAGTGAGACTCCGCCTCAGGAAAAAAAAAAAAAAAAGTCACGGGCCTGCGAAATCATCCTGGCTCTGTTGTCTGAGATTCAATTTTCCAAATGCCTCTCAGAAATAGAGCTGTCAGGAGGCAGAGACCCTAGCGCTCAGATATATTTGAGTCCCAGCTCCAGCGCAAAGGAAACAGCCCTATTACCGCCTGCTAGACATCTCCATAGGCACAGGCTTCAGAAATGCTTCCCAGGGTGAGCAAATTAATAGAAAACACAATGTTCTTTTTTCCATCCTGAAAGATGATCTCCTAACCTCGCCTCTACCTGCTCAAAGCCACTGTACCTGGAGCTCCTGGAATCAGCTTCTTTTTTTTTTTTTTTGAGATGGAGTCTCACTCAGTCGCCCAGGCAAGAGTGCAATGACGCGATCTCCGCTCACTGCAAGCTCCGCCTCCCAGGTTCACGCCATTCTTCTGCCTCAGCCTCCCGAGTAGCTGGGACTACAGGCGCCCACCACCACGTCCGGCTAATTTTTTTTGTATTTTTAGTAGAGACGGGGTTTCACCGTGTTAGCAAGGATGGTCTCGATCTCCTGACCTTGTGATCCACCCGCCTCGGCCTCCCAAAGTGCTGAGATTACAGGCGTGAGCCACCGCTCCCAGCCGGAATCAGCTTCTATCCTTCCAGTTGTAACCCACATTTATGGCTTGTTTAAGCATCCACAGGGGGCCTAGCATTGTTAATGTCACAAAGAGGAACCCAGCCACTACCTGCAATCCTGAGTCAGGAAGGGATAGGTGGGGGTTGAGAAATGGCTGGGCAGGGCAGCAAAGCAACTGCCAAGGACTGGGCAAAAGGCAATAGAATGCAATTGAAGCAGGACGAATGCAGGTTAGACATGAGGAAGAACTTCCTAACACAGGAGACTATAAGTTCCTGGAGGAAATAGTGAGGTCTGACCCCTTGGGAATCCCAGAAGGGATCCCCACCCTCTTCGATGCTCTTGTTTGTCTAGATTCAAAGAAAATCAGCCCTAGAGGCATCTTCTTTTAAGTCCATCTCAGGAGGCTGAGGCATTAATCTTTATCTAGCAGTCATTTCTCTTGCCAACAGTCTGGGTCACTGTGGGTGGGGCCAGTGAGACGAGTCCCCAGTCACAGAGTGCGTTGTGTGTATGACTTTGTGACCCTCATCTTCACCACCCCCTTGCAAATTGCATCTGGCCTGGGATAGTAGATAGAACAAATCAGTTCATCTGTCACCATTCACTTGATAACCTGCCGTGTGCGTAGTTCTGGGGTAGAAGCAAAGCTGAGCAAACACAGGCTTCCCTGCCCTTGAGACCCTCACGGATGTGTGTGGGGAGAGACTCACATAAGATTCAATTAGTGCTGAAATAAAGAGGAGCACAAAATGCTTTGGGAACATAATTACCTCAGCAAGTAGATACCAGGGAAGGTTTACCCCAAGAAGTGACACCTGGTCTGGGTTTTGAAGCTCAGGTAGAAGTTTGCCTAAAAGAAAATGGAAAAAGGCATTATAGGCAAGGGAATGGTTGTGGCTGATATGTTGCTTTTTATTTTTTTCGCTAAGGATCATTATTAGTTCTCTGAGGTTGCCTTTGGTGCTAACACCACCTGAGACACATGTTGTGTTTTTGTGGTTTTTTTTTTGAGATGGAGTCTCGCTCTGTCGCCCAGGCTGGAGTGCAGTGGCCTGATCTCGGCTCACTGCAAGCTCCACCTCCCAGGTTCACGCCATTCTCCTGCCTCAGCCTCCCCAGCAGCTGGGACTACAGGCGCACGCCGCCACGCCCGGCTAATTTTTTGTATTTTTGGCAGAGACGGGGTTTCACTGAGTTAGCCAGGATGGTCTCAATCTCCTGACCTTGTGATCCACCCGCCTCAGCCTCCCAAAGTGCTGGAATTACAGGCGTGAACACATGTTGAGTTTTGACATCATCCTAAAGGCTGTTATAATAATCGTCTTAAGTAAAAAGCTACCCCAGATAAACAACATGAGGACCTGCTGTTGGGCCATCCTCCCTGCACAAACTCAGGATTCAAATCAAGCCCTTCTTGCCTTCCTTTCTTATTAAGCATCGTTTCCCTTGCCTGTCTGGTTTGCCTTCCTAAGAGAGAAGGGGTAGAACTGTGCCCTGTTTGGGGATGGAACATCTATTTTCAGATACCAATTAAGCATCAGTCAAACCCTTAGTACGAGGTTCGAGTGGGGACGGGGCCGGACCTGGGAAGTGGTGTTTTCATTTGGGGTTCTCTCCTCTTTTCCATCCTTCCCATTGCCCTTGCCCCTCCCTCCAGCCTCTAGCTGGTAAAGGTGATCAGATAGAGAGATCACTGTTATATCGAAATCCCACTCCCCAAGCTCAGCCACCTGAGGATCAAGGCATTTTCTCACCCCTGGGGACGCAGGGCTTGCTAGCTGCTTTCAAAATGTCAAAATCTGTTGAGAAGATTTTCCCTATTTCCAGGTAAATGACAGCACCCCCCAGCTTCTCTAGAGAGCTCTAAATTATGAGAAAGGTGGGGGACAGGCTTGCGGGCCGTTTCTTTCCCAATCTTTAGGGGATCCAAGGTCACCAGGATGACACCAACTGGCCTGCTACTGCTGGCCTTGCTGAAAACCAAAAGGGTGTAGCCAGCCCCAGCCAGCCTGGGTCTGAATGAAGGCAAACCAGTAAAATGCTCTGCCTCTTGGAGACAACCTAGCATGCTCACCAGGAAGCCTTCTAAATCAGCCTTACGGTAATGATGTCAGGATAAAAATAACAGTAACAGTGGCCCAGCGCGGTGGCTCACACCTGTAATCCCGACACTTTGGGAGGCCAGTGAGGGTGGATCACTTGAGATCAGGAGTTCGAGACCAGCCTGGCCAACATGGTGAAACCCTGTCTCTACTAAAAATACAAAAATTAGCTGGGCTTGGTGGCGTGTGCCTGTAGTCCCAGCTACTCAGGAGGCTGAGGCGGGGGAATTGCTTGAACCTGGGAGGCGGAGGTTGCATTGAGCTGAGATCGTGCCACTGCACTCCAGCCTGGGCATTGGAGTGAGACCCTATCTCAAAAAAATAAAAAAATTTTAAAAAGTAACAGTGATAACAATATCACGGTGCAGGTGTGTAGCCATTTTAACCCTTGGACTCATGAGCCCACAGCACTGAGGCCAGGAATCCAGCGCCAAGCTGGTGACCTTGGTCAGACAACTAATTTTTTTTTTTTTTTTTTTTTTTTGAGACGGAGTCTCGCTCTTTCACCCAGGCTGGAGTGCAGTGGCCCGATCTCGGCTCACTGCAGGCTCTGCCCCCTGGGGTTCACGCCATTCTCCTGCCTCAGCCTCCCGCGTAGCTGGGACTACAGGCGCCCGCCACCTCACCCGGCTAATTTTTTGTATTTTTAGTAGAGATGGGGTTTCACCATGTTAGCCAGGATGGTCTCGATCTCCTGACCTCATGATCCGCCCGCCTCGGCCTCCCAAAGTGCTGGGATTACAGGCGTGAGCCACCGCGCCGGCCGACAACTAATTATTAATAGCATCTGTGCTGAGCCTCCCTTTCCTAATAGGGGCTAATAGGCTCATCAAGTTGTGGGGAGGATGAAATGAGATAATGTATGAGATAATGATGTCAACCATAACAACAGGACCTAATATATTTATTGAGCAATATCAGGTACTGTGCTAAGCACTTTAAGTCCATGGCTTCATTGAACCCCCAGCTCAACCCAATGAAATACTGTGATTGTCTCCATTTTACAGATGAGGAAACTGAGAATCACAGAGGGTTTTGGTGCTCAACGAGGGTCACATAACCAGTAAGTGTTGGAGATGGGATTTGAACCCAGGCCATGGAGCCCTGAGCCCACTCTACAGGGCCTGGCACAGAATAAATGCTCAACAAATGTTGGGGTCGTTACTATTGTTCTTATTTGGCTAAATAATATATTGCGAATTTGAGGCAGATAAGAAGCACTGTGCCCATTTTACAGATGAAACCCTTGTGGCCAACAGGTGACCCAAAGCCCAAAGTGACCACCCATTGAGTCATGACAAGGCTGCATCTCCTCCCCTTTGTGACCACATCGTCATCTTTGTCACTCATTGAAATCAATGGGACAGATGTGATTTATGCCTCCTGGGGGCCGGGCTGTGGAAACACACAGAGAAAAGAGCAGGAGGGCCTTGAGTGGAAAGAGGGGAACTTTGAGGGCCTGGATTCCAAGCCCAGCTCTATTGCTTGTTTTTCATTAATTTGGGGATAGCCACGTCACCTCTCACAGCCTCTATTTTCTGATCTGAAGAATGGGTTACCATGAGGATTCAATGAGCCCATGGATGTGCAGTGGCCTAGCCCAGGTCAGGCACCAAATAGGCATTTACTGAATGTTACTCAAAATGAAATGAAGGCCAGGTGTAGCTCATGCCTGTAATCCCAGCACTTTGGGAGGCAGAGGCAGGTGGAACACTTTAGGTCGGGAATTTGAGACCAGCCTGGCCAACATGGTGAAACCGTTTCTACTAAAAATACAAAAAATATTAGCCAGGTGTGGTGGCACACACTTGTAATCCCAGCTACTTGGGAGGCTGAGGCAGGAGGATCGCTTGAACCTGGGAGACAGAGGTTGCAGTGAGCCAAGATGGTGCCACTACACTCCAGCCTGGGTGACAGAGTGAGACTCCATCTCAAGAGAAATGAAATTGAGTATGATCACTGCCCTGGAGCAGTTCACAGCCGAGCCATCCCCTCTTCTCATTTGATATGCACCTCAACTTCTGAAAACTTCTACTTTCAAGACAAACTACAGATGGAAATACACACAGTAGTCATCATATTGTGATATTTGGGGTTTCATAGACTCATGCACAGATGTTACCCACAGAGCTGCCTTGGCTGGCTTTGGCAGAGTCCATCGGCTCCCTTGAGGCTGACATCTCAGGGTGCTTCTTGATTACTCCTTTCCCTAAGTCTCTCTCGAAGCATTTGAGAAACCTCTTGCATTTTGAGATTAATTTCCCTCTGTAGGAGGATGCCCCAAATCCCTAGTTCTAAGCTGCAGTCCAACTCATTTTTGCCCCTACTTCAATTAGGTCAGGTATCCCTTGCCTTGGTCTAGATACCCAAGTTGGATTTTCCCAAAGGCATCTTCAGTGCCCCACTTCTTAGGGTGATCCAACATTCCCAGGGTGCCCTCAAACCAGCAGACCCCCCACCAAGATGCTTTCTAGGGATGTATACTGAACACAGTCTCTCTCCATCCCAGAGGCATCTTCCTTCCTTCCACCTGAGCCATCGCCTGCTCAGTGACTCCCAGGTCTTTATAGGTCACTGAGCCAAGAGGCCAGCAACCAAACTTGCTGTCCTGGGTGGTCAGAGCCAGGGTGGAGCCAGGAAGTGGTGCGTGAATTGACTAGTGTTTGGGTTCAGCCCTGCTGGAATTTCCACATATTTTGCTAACTGTTTGTTTTAAGAGTGAGTATATTCAATGCAGGCTGTCCCAACTGTTGTCCAGGTCTGACAATGACACTGTGGTTCACAATCAGTGACACCACTCTGCACGCTCCTTCACTGCGTCACCCCATATTGAAATGCTTTTCCCAAAAAGGGCAAGTTGGGTCAAAGTCATTTTTCTTCCTCTCTGTAAATTGGTATCAGTTGCCAAAACCAACCTCCCACCAAACAGAGGCTCTTACAGGTCAACAGCCCCAGCCTATTTCCATTTCCTGAGGTTCCCAGGATTTTCTAAGATACAAGGGCCAAAACATAAACATGAAACTTGTTGTGCATTTTCAATATTTGCATTTAGCAAGTTAAGGCTTTCAACAAACAAACACAGTATGATGCGGTATCATAGGGCAGGCCACGAGATAATTACAGGATTGATGTTAAGATTAATTCCTAGTGTATATATACATTCTGGTCTGGTAATGGGACCAAGCTGAAAGTTGTCCAGTAACATCTGGCTATACTATGATATCACTGCAATTTGGAGAAAGCTTAAAAAGTTCAGCCTTGATGCCCCTCGGTCCTCCAGAGGTCTCCACTATCACCCTGAATCCTTAACTGGGTGAGTCTGACTCCCAAGCACCCCCATTTTTAATCACCTTCTACAGACTGTTGAATTACAGAAGAGAGAGAGAGAGAGAGAGAGGCAGAGTAAGCAATGTCAACTTTCTTTTTTTCTTTTTTTTTTTTTTGGAGACAAAGTCTCAGTCGCCCAGGCTGGAGTGCGGTGGCGCGATCTCGGCTCACTGCAAGCTCCGCCTCCCGGGTTCAAGCCATTCTCCTGCCTCAGCCTCCCGAGTAGCTGGGACTACAGGCGCCCGCCACCACGCCCGGCTAGTTTTTTTGTATTTTTAGTGGAGGTGGGGTTTCACCGTGTTAGCCAGGATGGTCTTGATCTCCTGACCTCGTGATCCGCCCACCTCGGCCTCCCAAAGTGCTGGGATTACAGGCGTGAGCCACCGCGCCCGGCCAGCAATGTCAAGTTTCTATGGAGTTATCTTAAGGAACGAATCACTTTAGACATAGTGCTTTGAATACACTAAAGGAAATTATATTCCAAAGTACTAAATACACTTGGTTAAGTTCTATACATAGCAATTTTTTAATTGTACGGATAAGTGGGTACCTTCTGGTTTTGTGAGTCTGTGGGCCTGGACCCTGAGCTGTCCCAGCTTGTAACCAGGTTATGCTTGCTGCCCGGGAGAGGTGGTACCCACAGGTGGGTGCGATGCCGCCCAGGGCTGCAGCAAAGGGCACAGTGTGTGGCGTCTGGCCCATGGTGTGAATGGCCCTCTGCCCAGCTCAGCCCCAGTGTGCTGCCCTCATTTCAGGACAAGCCAAACAGGGCAGGTTGCTGCAGGCCTCTAATAGAGGAGCTGTCACTGGTGCCGATAGCATAAGAATAAGAAGCGACTTGCTTTGTACAAGTTTAGGCCTTAGCTCTTAGAGTAGTTTACTAGGGCTGCTGTAATAAAACACCACCAACTGGTGGCTTAAACAGCAGAATGGATTGCCTCACAGTTCTGGAGGCCAGAAATACAAAATCAAGGTGTTGGCGGTGCTGGTTCCTTCCGAGGGCTGGGAGGGAGAAGCTGACCCAGTCCTCCCTCCTTGGCTTGTAGGTGGCCGTCTTCATGTTCACATGGCGCTCTCCCTGTGAGCACATCTGCCTTCAAATTTCTCTTTTCTCTAAGGACACCAGCCCTACTGGATCAGGACCCATGCTGATGACCTCGTTTTTAACTTGATTTCCTCTGTAAAGGCCCTAACTCCAAAGAAAGCCACATTCTGAGGCAGTTTAGGACATCAACATATGAATTTGATGGGGATGGGGAGGGAGGACATGGTTCAGCCCATAATACAGGGGTCCCCAAACCCCAGGCCACAGACCAGTACTGGCCTGTTAGGAGCTGGGCTGCACAGCAGGAGGTGAGCGGCAGGCGAGCAAGTGAAGCTTCATCTGTATTTACAGCTGCCCCCATCGCTCGCATTACCGCCTGGGCTCTGCCCCCTGTCAGATCAGTGGTGGCCTTAGATTCTCATAGGAGCTCGTACCCTACTGTGAACTGCACCTGCAAGGGATCTAGGCTGCCTGCGCTTATGAGAATCTAATGCCTGATGATCTGTCACTGTCTCCCATCTCCCCCAGATGGGACCATCTAGTTGCAGAAAACAAGCTCAGTGCTCCCACTGATTGTACATTCTGGTGAGTTGTGTAATGATTTCATTGTGTATTATAATATAATAATAATAGAAATAGTGCACACGATCAATGTAATGCCCTTGAATCATCCTGAACATGCCCCCGACCACCAGTCCATGGAAAAATTGTCTTCCACAAAACCGATCCCTGGTGCCAAAAAGGTTGAGGACTGCTGCCATAATAGCTCCTAAGATGTTGTATGTCTTGGAGGCGCCTGCCTGCCTCCCCTGGTGTAGTTGTCAGTCCTGGTTTCACTGTGAGGCTCGTGACAGTGACAGCCACTACTAGGGAAGGGCAGGTGCTTGGCCTCTGTGTCTTGGTGTTCTGAGTTCTGGTGCTGAGTTTCTGTCTTCTTGCCTAAAAAATCTCCCTCTGTCCACTGCCCAGCACACCTGCTTCTTACTTCCTAGTGTCTGCTAAAAAGCCCACCATCCAGCTGGGTGCAGTGGCTCATGCCTATAATCCCAGCACTTTGGGAGGCCAAGGCAGGCGGATACCTGAGGTCGGGAGTTCGAGATCAGCCCAACCAACATGAAGAAACCCCATCTCCACTAAAACTACAAAAATTAGCCAGGCATGGTGGCACATGCCTGTAATCCCAGCTACTCAGGAGGCTGAGGCAGGAGAATCATTTGAACCCATGAGGCAGAGGTTGCAGTGAGCTGAGATCGCACCATTGCACTCCAGCCTGGGCAACAAGAGCAAAACTCTATCTCAAAAAAAAGCCCACCATCCTTCCACTTACCCAATCCATGTTTACTTTATCCTTTGCCCCGATCCTCTCCTACCCAGAGACTCTCAGTTCCACTTCCAGAGCCCCCAACCTTCAGTTCCCTGCTTCCAGTCCTGCTGCCCCTGCAGCTGCATTCCAACCCCATGGCTACTCCTGGCCTCATTGCACCATCCTCCTCATGGGTCTCTCTGCCTTGACCCTCTCCCTCCTGCAATCCTTGCAATCATGTCTTTCCTAAAATCCAGCTGAGATAAGATCACTCACTCTATGAAATCAAGGCCAACATCCTTGGCTTAGCATTTAAGGAACTCTACAGTGTTGAAACTTTTTAGACCTTGTGTTAGTTTGCTCAGGTTTTAATCACAAAGGACCATTGCCTGGGTGGCTTAGACAACAGAAATTTACAGCTCACAGTTCTGGGGGTTGGAAGTCCAAGATCATGGTGCCAGCATGGTCAGGTTCTGGAGAGGGCTTTCTTGTCAGCTTGCAGACATCTGCCTTCTCTGTGTCCTCACATGGCAGACAAAGAGAAAGAGCTCTCTCTTCCTTTTCATATAAGGCCACCAATCCTATCAGATTAGGGCCCCACCCTTATGATCTTGTTTAACCTTCATTATCTCCTAAAAGTTCTATCTCCCAACAAAATCACATGGGGGTGGGGGATGGAGGTTAGGGCTTTGTATTAGTCAGGGTTCTCTAGAGGGACAGAATTAATAGAATAGATGTATATATAAAGAGTTTATTAAGGAGTATTAACTCACACGAACACAAGGTGAGGTCCCACAATAGGCCATCTACAAGCTGAGGAGCAAGGAAGCCAGCCCGAGTCCCAAAGCTAAAGAACTTGGAGTCCAATGTTCAAGCGCAGGAAGCATCCAGCACGGGAGAAAGATGTAGGCTCAGAGGCTAAGCCAGTCTGGTCTTTTTATGTTCTTCTGGTGCTTTTATTCTTCTGGCTGCACTGGCAGCTAATTAGATTGTGCCCACCCACATTGAGGGTGGGTCTGCCTTTCCCAGTCCACTGACTCAGATGTTAGTGTCCTTTGGCAACACCCTCACGGACACACTCAGGGACAGTACTTTGCATTCTTCAATCCAATGAAGTTGACACTCAGTATTAACTATCACAGGCTTCAAATAAATTTGGAGGAAGGACAGAATGCAGTCTCATGCAGATCTCATATGTTTATTGAACATATACTGTGTGCTGGGCACTGTTTCAGGGATAGAACAAACTGAACAGTGGGTAGGCAGAAAACAAGTATTATCTAAATGCCTATATAGGTAAATGTAAATCTATATCTACAAGATATAGAAATGTAGGTGTGCACATACATGTCCAGGTACATATATGCTCATGATGACCACAGGTAGTGTTAAGTGCTATGGGGAAAACAAAGCATGGTAAGGGTGATTGGGGGCAGAGAATGACAAGGAAGTGACACTGCTTTAAAGAATGATCACAGCCGGCACAGTGGCTCACATGTGTAATCCTAGCACTTTGGGAGGCTGAGGTGGGCAGATCACCTGAGGTCAGGAGTTCGAGACCAGCCTGGCCAACATGGTGAAACCTCGTCTCTACTAAAAAAAAAAAAAATAGAAAAATTAGCCAGGCATGGTGGTGCATGCCTGTAATCCCAGCTACTCAGGAGGCTGAGGCAGGAGAATCACTTAACCCAGAAGATGATGGAGGTTGCAGTGAGCCAAGATCACACCACTGCACTTCAGCCTGGGCGACAGAGTGAGACTCTGTCTCAAAAAAAAAAAAAAAAAAAAGAATGATCAGGAAAGATCTCTAACATGACGGCATTTGAGCAAACGCAGTGATCGGGGTCAGCCACTGGAATTCAACCCTTTACATCAGGCATCCACAAACCTTTTATCTAAAGGACAAGATAAATATTTTTGGCTTTGTGGGCCACATGGCCTTGGACTCTATCAAAATACTAGCCAGCTCTGACATTGTCATGTCAAAGCTGCCACATGCTATATGGACTCAAATGAGCCCCAATGAAATTTTATTTATGGATACTAACATTTGAACATCATATAACTTTTGTGTGTCACAAAATATTCTCCTTTTGATTTTTGCATTCAATAACCCAAAAATGGAAAAAATCCTTCTTAGCTCAGAAGCTGTACAAAAACAGACAGTGGGCCACGCCGTCTGCAGATCTCTGCTTTAGAAGAAGCAGCTGTAAGATGCTTTTCCCAGTTGTGGGATGAGAGTCATTCAGTGGCTGCTGAGTCCTAGAATACTAGTCCCCAAAATATAGTAGGTGCTCAATATGCACTTGTTGAAGGGGAGAAAGAAGGGAGAAAAGGAGAGGGGAAAAGGAATCAGAGCTTCAGCAGTCCTTGGAAGTGGCATTCTCAGCTCTGGAGCCCAGGCTGACGTGACCGCACCTCCCTGCCTCCTTTTGAGCCTGGCTGCAGGACCATTTCCTTTCATTCCTTCAGGGCCTCTGCAAGCTTCCTAGGCAAAGAGGTGTTGACAAGGCTATGAAAATGCCCATGAGATCATGGCCTCCTTTGCACACTTAGGGGCGGGTGTCCCAGGGGTCCACAAAGAGCGAGCCAATGTCTCCTCCCACCTAAAAGCTTCCCTTGTCCCCACCACAGACATAAAGCCAGAAAAGGGAGTATGTAGCCACAGCCCAAAGCCCACTTGTGCCCTGTGCCCAACATAATAACTCACAAGTGCTGCTAATCTGCATTTTGACCAGGAGAACTTTGGTGCCCACTCAGAATAGTCATTTGCATCCTGCATGCAGGGCCCCTGACTGCTATATTAATCTCCCCGTTTCTCCCCTCCTGAGTCATCTAATATTGCTGCTGGCTAATTAAAACATCAAAGTGCCAAGTACAACAGCCCTGCCAGAAGCCTCCTAATGCCTGGTTTCAAGTGTGCAATCCAGTGAAACCCAGGGCGGAGGGTGGCACGGCTCGCACTCGGGCAGCCAATTACTTGACTCGTAACGACCACCCCTCGCACATCTGGGACCTCAACAGATGGCCTCTTTTATTAGTCCTGTTATCTCGCTCCTCCCCCTCCCTGGTGATGAAAACTGTCGGCTGCCGCCCACAGGCCACACCCTGCTCCTCCTCCTCACGCCTGGCCCCCCACCCTCTGAGTCCTGGGCCCAGACCCGATGTCATCACCACATCTGTCATCCCCGCCCTGGGATTTCAGCTGCTCCTCAGCCTCTACAGTGTTCACATGGGTGGCCGAGAGGGTTTCTAAACTGGCTGAGTGAAACTGGGTATGTAGGGAGAATGGCTGGGGTGCCTTCCTGTGGGCAAGGTAGGATTATTTGTTTTTTTTCTCAATGATACAGGTTGTGGGCACAATCAGAGGGATGTGTTTGCTACAAAGCCCTGCCCAGATGTGACTTTCATCACCTCCAAGACTCCTCCTGGAAGACACAGGAGGGGAGACAGGATCTTAAAGAAGTGTTTAGGGTGCCTGGCCAGACGTTTGAACAAAGTGGGGTTGTTTGTATCCAACTTCCTAGGGAAACATGGGCACAATAACTTAGACAGGCTAGAAAGTATAAATGAGGAACAAAGGAAAGAACTCGCCCAAACCTTTATCATGCTCCCAGTGTGGTAGTGTAGTAGTAATACTTGCAGAAGTAATAATAGTAATACAAGTAATAATATAAGTAATAATAATACAAGTAATAATAGTAATACAAGTAATAATACAAGTAGTAATAATAATACAAGTAATAATATACAAGTAATACAAGTAATAATACTTGCAGAAGTATTGCAGTACTACAAGAAATACTTCTAATACTGTAAATTGGGCTAGTAGTCACATAATAATAACATTTATAATAATAAATAATGGCTAACATTTAGGGGTGACTATGATCATCCAAGTAAGAGATGACTTAGTCAGGGTGCTGGCCAGTGGAAGGGGAGAGGAGTGAATGGATTCTAGAGCTAGTTAAAAAGCTAAAATGGGGGAGAGTCAGTGATGAGTTGGGTGTGGGAGATAGAGAAGAGGCTGATGATTAAGATAGCTCCCACCCGTGGCTTGTCCTGCACAGATGGTTGGTAGCGCCCGGCACTGAGGAGGACCAGATCTGGCGAGGGCCAGGAGCCGTGGAAGATTATGAATCCTAGCACCTTCCGTGTGTTCCCTGTGCTGCCACAGCCTGCACTCTTCCGGAGCAGTCTTTAACAGTGGCACGCTCTTCCCCACCTCCTGTTCCCCAGGCTCCAACATGGCGCCATGAATGCTTTAACACAGAACTCAGAACTCTTATTCCGCTGGCTGCAAAGGTGGCCATGATAGTTCTCTTAACTCAGGACCTCTGCATGATCTGTTCTCTCTGCCTGTAAGACCTTGCTTCCTCTTCCTTGCCTGGCTAGCACGTACTCATCTTCTGGTCTTGACCTAGAAGTTAGATGTGTCTTCTATGTGCTCCCACCTCCCCTGTGCTGCCAAGGTCCCATGTAATGGCATCCATTGTGCTAAATCGATTGCAATGGCTCATTCAGTTTTCGTCACCCCCTACAGGACTGTGACTCCATGGGAGCAGAGATCACATCCATCTAGCTTGTCACTATAGTCTTGGTCTCTGCTGCCTCACCTGGCACATAGGAACTACTCAATAAACATGTGTTAAATTAATGAATTATTCCTGATGGCCAGGAGGCAGGATAGTCAAGCTGTTAAGGGCATGGTTTGGGAGCCAGACTGCCTGGATTGGACTCCTTTCTTCAGCTTATTAGCTCTACAATCTTGGGCAACTTAACCTCTCTGTGCCTCAGTTTCCTAATCTGTAAAATGGAGATAATAAGGTTGTTGCTTGGCACATAATCAGTGCTCATTTAATGTTAGTCTTCAGTATTAGTCCTTCGCAGTTCTCTGTGACTTCTATCCTGGACTTTGATCCAGCTCATTTGATCATAATTCACAGCTACCGTCACCAGCCTGAGCTCCTCCAAGCCAGTGAGATGAGTGCCCTGCCTCCTTTCTGATTTTATCTCCTTACACTTGCCCTCATGCATACACTCCAGCCACACTCAACCTCCTTGCTGGTCCTTTGAACTTAACAAGTTCATTCCCATGTCAGTGCCTTTGCACTTGCCCTTCTCCCCTCCACTTAGTTACAGTCACCTCCCCATTTTCTATTCTTATCATCACCTGGAATTATACTGACCCTATATTAGTTTACTTACTGTTTATCTCCACCTCTACCACATAACACTCCAGAGGGCAAGGTACCTGTCTGTATTCTTCACTGCTGAATCCCCAGTGCCTATTTATTGAGCATGTATTATAATAGGTGCTCAATAAATGCTAATTGAATGTATGAATGCCCTGCCTCAAGGTCACTGTGCACTGATGTACTCTTTGCATGAGTGTCACTTAACATTGGCTCATCTTCTCCCTGATCTTGCTTGGCTTTCGCATCAGGGTGCACCTGCTGCCCCTCCCTTAGAGTTACTAAGTGACCAATGCTTGCCTGATGCATGTGTGTGCCTGTACCCAGGCAGGTAGACAATAACCCAGGAGCATCCAAGACAGATGTGATCCTAGGCCAGGCACGATGACTCACACCTGTAATCCCAACACTTTGGGAGGCTGAGGCAGGAGGATTACTTGAGTCTAGGAGTTCAAGACCAACCTGGGCAACATAGTGAGACCCCCATCTCTACAAAATATATAAGAAATTAGCTGGGCATGGTGACACGCACCTGTAGTCCCAGCTACTTGGGAGGGTGAGGTGGAAGGATTGCTTGAGCCTAGGAGGTCAAGGCTACAGTGAGCTATGATTGGACCACTGCACTCCAGCCTATGTGACAGAGCAAGACCCTATCTCAAAAAAAAAAAAAAAAAAAAAAGACAGATGTAATCCTTATCAGTGAGGTCTACAATGAATGGGCCAACACTGGTCAGCCTGAGATTTATCCCCCCTCACCTACTGGCCAAATCATTTGCAGAGTGAAGACAAATGGGGGACTAAAGGTCCCCATAAAGAGGCTCTTCCATGGTTTCTTTCCATGTAGGTGTTCAAGACAGAGGGGACGGTAAGTGCAAAGGCCCTGAGGCAGGAACAAGCCTGGAAGTTTTAAAAATCAGAAACCAGAAATTTGGGGACAATATTCTTTGCTTCACATTTTTTCAATTTATTTTATTTTATTTCATTATTATTTTTCTGAGATGGAGGCTCCTTCTGTCTCCCAGGCTGGAGTGCAGTGGTGCAATCTTGGCTCACTGCAGCCTCTGCCTCTCGGGTTCAAGTGATTCTCCTGCCTCAGCCTCCCAAGTAGCTGAGATTACAGGTGTGCACTACCACACCTGGCTAATTTTTGTATTTTTTAATAGAGACAAGGTTTCACCAAGTTGGCCAGGCTGATCTCGAACTTCTGATCTCAAGTGATCCGCCCACCTCGGGCTCCCAGAGTGCTGGGATTACAGGTGTGAGCCACTGTGCCTGGCCCAAAATTTTTCAATTTAAATCTTTCTGTTTTCTCAGTACTCGCCAGAAATGGTGAGTTTGGACTGTCACAGAAAGGCCTAGAAATCCAAGTAAATCGACCCAGCTTTAGGTTTGATTCCTCGGTGCTGGGGGCTATTATCATTCAAAGAGGCTGATGGTGTCCTTTCAGTCATGTATTCATTCAACAAATATTCACCGAGTCCTTCCTCAGTGTGTCCGACCCTGTTGAACCAGAGAGACCACCTTTGAGTTCCTGACCCCTCTCCCCAGAGCAGAATCCTAGAGGCTCTTCCATGGTGTTTCTTTCCATGTAAGTGGGGAAATCAGGTTCCCAGGAACCTTGTACATGTCAAGCAGGAAGGGCTGGATCTTACTCTGGATGTAGACAGTTGGTCACTCAAGGCAGATCCCAGGAAGAACAATGGCTCTCCCAGCCTCTGTGGAGACAATGTTACAGTCCACTCAAGGCCCTGCCTCATCTTCCACCTTCATTCTCTCCTGCAGCCCCCCACCTCAGGAAAACAGTCCCCCACAAAGAATGGCAGCCCCTCCAAGTGTCCACGCTTCCTCAAGGTCAAGAACTGGGAGACTGAGGTGGTTCTCACTGACACCCTCCACCTTAAGAGCACATTGGTAAGTATCCCAGCAGGGTGTAGATGAGAGGGTGGCAGCTTCATCACTATCCACATTTGGAGTCGGATAAGTCTTTGTTGTGGGGGCTGTCCTCTGTTGTAGGGTGTTGAGCACCACCCCTGACCCATACCCCCTAGATGTCAGTACGCCCCCTTCCAGGTTGTGACAACCAAAAATGTCTCTGACAGAGCAGGAGCACTGCCGTCTTGGGCAAACACTGCCATTTTAAGTTCCAGCTCCCTTTCTAACTTCATGTATTTCAAGGAAATCACCTCCCTTCTAACAACAAGCAGCCAGAAAAAGCAGATAGTAAAACACAGATAAGACAGCTCGGGCACACAGGGAGGGGGGAAAGTCTCTTGGGTAACCACCAAACTTCAAACTCATACAATGGGCTCCAGTAAAACAGTGGGCCTTAATAAGCATATTCCTTTCCCTTTAGATGCACAAAGATAGGGAAGCTAAAAGCAGACTTGCGGGGTATGCCTGCAGCTGCAAGAAAATATATGGGAACAGACACAAAAACTCTCCCTCCCAGATAAGCAAGACAAAGAGACACAGAAACATTCCAAGCTTGTGATAAGCTCTACCACCCTAAACCCTTAAATACTCTTAGTCTGTAAAAAAGAGTGCTCCTCATTAGGACAAACACCTAATGCATGCGGGGCTTAAAACCTAGATGATGGGTTGATAGGTGCCCACCATGGCACATGTATACATATGTAACAAACCTGCACGTTCTGCACGTGTATCCCGAACTTAAAGAAAAACAATAAAGAGTGCTCCTAACCTAACTTGGCCAGAAGCCCCTCTCAGGTTTATTCTTTAAAATAAACCTGTCTCTGACTGTTAAGCCACTTTTCATGTTTCTTTCTTCCTTCTTCAACTCTTACAGTCTCCAAGACATTACCTAACATTCCCTGGGCAAGAAATTCACCCCTGTTTGAGAACCACTGGTGGATTCTCACTCTCTTATGTAAATGCTTTTTATTTGTGAACCCAGTACACAAAAGAATCTAAGGGAAGTTGCTGCTTGCGAATATCATCTCTGTCTCTCACAGTCTGACCACTGGTGGAGTATTAAACAAACCCTTCCTTGATTTCACAGTGTGTCCTCAGTATTTTTATTTCATATTTTTAATAGTCAACAAACCATTATATTGCTTTAAATTTTTGTTGAACCTGGGCCTCTTGGAAGAATGGTATCTGCAAGCTATTACAATGTAACAAATTGCCCTGAAACTTAGTGGCTGAAAACAACTATTAAAACTATGTATTATTTTTCAAAAGTCTACGGATTGGCTGGGTAGATCAGTGATTGATCTGGTCCAGACTCTGTTGATTTTGGTGAGGCTTTCTCATGCATCTGTAGTTACATCTGAGGGGTCAGCTAAGGTCAGGGTGGTCTAGGATGGTCCTGGCTGAGATAACTCAACCCTGTTCCATGTGGTCTCTCCTCTTCCAGCAAGCTAGCTTGGGCTTGTTCACATGTAGTTGCAGGGTTCTAAGAGAATGAGCAGAAACATGCAAGAACTCTTGAGGCTTAGACTCAGAGTTGTCACAGGGTCATTTCTGCCACATCCTAAGGGTCAAAACCAGCCCAGAGTCAAGGGGTTAAGGGATAGGTTCCACTTCTTCATGGAGAATTGTTGTAAAGCCACATCTCAAAGGGTGTGAATACAGGGAGGGGAAAAATTAGGGTCCTGTTTTGCAATCAGTCTATCATAGATGCATTCAAATGAGTTACTGTAGCCACTCTATTAGTTCCTCCTTGATCATCATGCAAAATCTAAAAATATTTCAGATTTTAGTACCAATGATTCTGATTCCTAGTCAAAAAGCTTCTGTTCCCAAGATGAGTAGAGCAAATACTTTAGGAACCTTAAAATGCTACTTATTGTTCCTTAACATGACTATGATCATATCCACCAAGGATTTGAAGCTGGTACTTGAGAAACTGCCTCTGGGAATTAAGGGCCAGATAAACTCAACCATGAGTACGAGATCCAAGCCCACAGCCTAACACCTGCCACTCTTGGGTAAAACCAAGCAATACCCCAAATCTCTTGATCTTCCAGGAAACGGGATGCACTGAGTACATCTGCATGGGCTCCATCATGCATCCTTCTCAGCATGCAAGGAGGCCTGAAGACGTCCGCACAAAAGGACAGCTCTTCCCTCTCGCCAAAGAGTTTATTGATCAATACTATTCATCAATTAAAAGGCAAGTGTGTGTCAATTCCGGGGAGCCCGAGGTAAGTTATCGAATGCTGGAGAGAAAGATGTCAGCCCCAACTTTGCAAACCAAGGCCAAGGCACAAGGCCTCTGCCATACACAGAGGCTTAAGACTGGCTACCCATAGGTCACATCTGTTCCCCAGAAGTGCTTTTGTTTCACCTGCAAAGGGTTGCTTATAATTTGAAAGATTTCAAGCAATTCCATGCCTAGATACATACCCTAAAGAAATTCTCACACCTGTTCACAAGGAACCATCAGTAAGAATGTTCACTGAAACATTGTTTATAGCAGGAAAAAATTAAATTAAAGAACTAACAAGAGACCAGGTGCAGTGGCTCACGCCTGTAATCCCAGCACTTTGGGAGACTGAGGCGGGCAGATTGCTTGAGCCCAAGAATTCAAGACCAGCCTGGCCAAAATGGTGAAATCTTACCTCTACTAAAAATACAAAAATTAGTAGGGCATGGTGGTGCACACCTATAATCCTAGCTACTTGGGATGCTGAGGCATGAGAATTGCTTGAACCCGGGAGGTGGAGGTTGTAGTGAGCCAAGATCACACCACTGCACTCCAGCCTGGGCGAACAGAGCGAGACTCCATCTCAAAAAAAAACAAAAGAAAGAAACCACATAAACACCATCAACAGGAGAATGGGTAAGTTATGGTATATTCCAGTGATGGAATACTATAACAACTGTAAAAATCAAAGGGATTAGCGCTCTGCATGTTAATGGAATTTAAGTTCATGTTCATAGCTAACTTTGAGCAAAAGAAAGGATAAATTGTAAAAGGATACATCCAGTATAGCACCATTTATATGAATTTTTTTATTGATTTATTTTTTTGAGACAGAGTCTTGCTCTGTCACCCAGGCTGGAGTGCAGTGGCATGATCTTGGCTCACTGCACCCTCTGCCTCCCAGACTCAAGCGATTCTCTGCCTCAGCCTCCTGAGTAGCTGGGATTACGGGCACGCACCACCACACCCAGCTAATTTTTGTATTTTTTGTAGAGACAGAGTTTTGCCATGTTGGCCAGGCTGGTCTCAAATTCCTAGCCTCAAGTGATCCACCCTCCTCGGCCTCCCAAAGTGCTGGGACTACAGGTGTGAGCCACCATACCCGGCCTGTATGCCTATATGAATGCTTTAAACATGCAAAATGATATTGTACATGATTGAAGGATAGATATACATGTGGCAAAGATATGAACAAGTGTATGAGAATGGTAAATGCCAGGTTCAAGATAGCAGTCACTTCTGGGGACAGAATGGGCTACAGTGGGGAAGTATTCCCCAAGAAACTATTATAGTATTTTTTAGGCTTGGGACATGGGAGTTTATTATATTATCCTGTATACCATTTTGTAAACCAAAAATTTTTCTAACTTTCTAAAATTGAATTCATTGCCAACATTTAAAAATTATAAGAGTTCCCCTTAAAACTCAGATTTCCAGTTTCTCTGGAAAGATTTAGCAGTCCTGGGTCCCCACTCCTGTCAGGTGACAACTGACAGGAGTGGAGCCGTGGCTGCCCGCTTTGGACAAGGCCTGGCTCACTTGTTTGCCACAGTCCCCACCCAGCTGGTTGACTTATATCTACAATGTTCAGCCTTTGTGGCCATTTGAGTTTACAGTGTCTGCTTTATCTTGCATCCAGAAATCAAACTGTTGCATCCAGAAATCAACTTGGAATTTTTTGTAGCTTCCAGCCTCTTGGAATAGCTCTCCCCTTCCACTAACTTCTAATTCAGAAGAGGGGGTGATGTTCCCATGTCCCTTCCTCTTCACTCAGATTTGGCTCCAAAGCCCACATGGAAAGGCTGGAAGAGGTGAACAAAGAGATCGACACCACTAGCACTTACCAGCTCAAGGACACAGAGCTCATCTATGGGGCCAAGCACGCCTGGCGGAATGCCTCGCGCTGTGTGGGCAGGATCCAGTGGTCCAAGCTGCAGGTAGGTGGTGAAGTCAGATACCTTGAAGAGCCCTTAAATGAGGGAAGAGGGGAAGGGGAGTGGATGGAGCTTTAAAAAGGATAAGCTTCTACCAAGGGTACCTGGTAGCCATGGTGACCTATCAGATGATGGTCACGGGGTCCCACATTCCAAGATCACAGCCAGCTCTAGATGATAATCATGTCTTATTTAGCCAACACAGTGCTTTTGCAAAAATGAACTTGCATATCTCTTGGAAGGGAGGGCTTATACTTTTCAGTTGACCGCAGACCTCACCACTCCCTTTTGTCTTGCATCTACTTAGCCTATTTATCTGCCTACTCCCTGAAGGCATTAGTTTCTGTGTCCCTTGGTTACGATTTTATTTTAGGAAATAGTTTAAAGTTGGAAGTAGATTTGTTATCAAGATCAGGGGGGTTTTGTTTGATTTTTGTTCTGTTTTTTAATCCCTAATCCCTAGTAACCTAACAGAAAATGTAACCAGCCCATCTAAACCCCCTCCTTCATTTGCCATTCCTTTCCCACATTCACTTTCATGCCGTGCCTACTTTTAGGCGATTTTTTTTTTTTTTCTGGTCAAATTGGCCTTGGTTATTAGGATAGAAAAGAGAAAATATAAAATGCAGCCTGGGACTCAGTAATGAGGTGCCCACTTCACCAATGTAGCAGCAGCTGGAGTGGGATCTGGGTTCTCCTAAAATGGGAAGATTGCGCTGGGGGAGCTGGGGAGGGAAAGAAGAGGCAATCAGTTCCGCCCTGTGCCTCTTCCAGGTATTCGATGCCCGTGACTGCACCACGGCCCACGGGATGTTCAACTACATCTGTAACCATGTCAAGTATGCCACCAACAAAGGGAACCTCAGGTGAGCTGACCAGCTGGGCACTGGGGAGCAGGAGGTCAAAAGTCCCCACAGCATTGTACTTTGACTCTGGAGTCAGCTCACCTGCCAGGGAAATGCACCTCATCTCAGGGACACGGGCCAAGCTGGGAGAGGTGTCCTGGCATCTTTTTTTTTTATTTTTTATTTTATTTTATTTATTTATTTTTTTTTTTGAGACAGAGTCTTGCTCTGTCGCCCAGGCTGGAGTACAGTGGCATGATCTCGGCTCACTGCAACCTCTGCCTCCCAGGTTCAAGCGATTCTCCTGCCTCAGCCTACCGAGTAGCTGGGACCCAAGCACCCGCCACCACACCCAGCTAATTTTTTTTATTTTTAGTAGAAACGGGCTTTCATGATGTTGACCATGCTGGTCTCAAACTCCTGACCTCAAGTGCTCCACCCGCCTCGGCCTCCCAAAATGCTGGGATTACAGGCATGAGCCACCACGCCCAGCCCCGGCATCTTTATTCCATACACCATCCCATTTTCCTTCTTTTCTGGGACAAGTGGATTCCTGTGTGGTTTGCAAAACTACAGCAGCAAACATCACGTTCAACCCACAGTTCAGTATCTTTCCTGGAGAGGACAGGAACAAATAGTTGAGATTCCCAGGAATCAGAAAATCCTATTGCTGGTGGTGACCTGCTTTTACTGTGTCTTGCTCTGTCGCCTGGAGACAAACCAAACCAAATCTCCCTTGGTTTAAAAGGCAGTTTCTCTTGCTGATACAATGGGAACTGCTCCTTCAGGTTCCACCCAGCCAAGCCATGCCTTGGACTCGTCTTCACCAATACAAAGAACAAAGCCACAGGGAGCAGGCCGAGGCAGGCAGACATCCATGTGGCTGGTGGCGGCCACGCTGGCAAGTCTCAGCTGGGAGAGGGACAGGTGGAAATGAACAGCTGGGGCCCCACAGACAGCCGGCTACACTTGTTGACTCTGCCCGCTCACTGCTGCCACGGCATCTGTTCCCAGCCACTGAGCACTAGCCCCATCTTGGAGCCACACAGGATCACTGCAGAGATATTCCCACAAGCGCCCGGGCTTCACTGAGTTCATCCAAAAGTGGCTTCTTTGCATGAAACATGGGTTTTCTTAGATGTGTCTCTTCTCTTCCGTAAGAAGGAAATGGTGTTTGCCAATTTTCTGAGTCCACCAGTAAGAAAACGGCCTGTAATCTAAGCCTGGGCCTGCATGAGGAATTGGTATTTAGGTGTCTTTCCCAAGACAACTCTTTTCCAAGAGACCTCACCCCTTAAAGAATATTAAAGAACCCTCTTGTGTATCCGGACCTGGTCGAGATTAGGCCCTCAAAGAGTTTATGGGCTCTTCTGGTGGATTTCCTTTTTTTTTTTTTTTTTTTTTTTGAGACAGAGTCTTGCTCTGTTACCCAGGTTGAAGTACAGTGGCACAATCTTGGCTCACTGCAACCTCCACCTCCCAGGTTCAAACAATTTTCCTGCCTCAGCCTCCCGAGTATCTGGGATTACAGGTACACACCACCATGCCCAGCTAATTTTTGTATTTTTAGTAGAGACAGGGTTTCACCATGTTGGCCAGGCTAGTTTCAAACTCCTGACCTCAGCTATCTACCTGCCTCGGCCTCCCAAAGTGCTGGGATCACAGGTGTGAGCCACCACGCCTAGTCTCTTCTGGTAGTTTTCAAATGGGGCTCTGAGCAGGCTCTGAGTATGGGTCACCCCAGTCCCAGCAGTGCACCTCCACTTTTTTCACTGCTGTATTAAGGGGTCTTTGTGAGATCTTCTATTAAAGAAAACATTCAGCAGATTCTTTTTCTTTCTATAGTTTTTAACCCTCATGTCTGAAAGCGATGAGAACTGTATAAGAATGTATACCATGCAGCTGGGCGCTGTGGCTCACGCCCGAAATCCCAGCAAGGTGGGAGGCCAAGGTGAATGGATCACTTGAGCTCAAGAGTTTGAGACCAGCCTGGGCAATATGGTGAAACCCCATCTCTACAGAAAATGCAAAAAATTAGTAGGACGTGCTGGAGTGTGCCTGTAGTCCCAGCTACTTGGGAGGCTGAGGTGGGAGGATTGCTTGAACGCAGGAGGTGGAGGTTGCAGTGAGCCGAGGTTGCACCACTGCACTCCACACTCCAGCCTGAGTGACAGAGTGAGACTGTCTCAAAAAAAAAAAAAAAAATATATATATATATATATATAATGTTATAGGAATAATCTGTGCATAGAGGGGAAGGACAGCAGAGAGAAGAAGAGAGGGAGAGATGCAGGTTTACACTGTGCTGAGGGAAGCAGGAGAGTACAGGTATAGATGTGTGTTCTGGTTCCTCTGTTGGTCTCAGTTTCTGCACATAGAGTAGGCATCACACCCCACTCACTGTGTGTGATTCTAGTGTTTCTAAACACACTTTTAAAATATACACATTACACAAACACCCTTTATCGGATGTTCAACCAGAGAAACAGCAATGTGTTTTAGTGCTGGAGGGAAAACTGTTTGACTCACTCCGTGTTCATCTCCAAGATGGCGCCTCTGTTAAGAGATCTTTAAGAGCATCTTTGCCTCTATGTGATTTTGGCCTCCAGCCTGGATTCTAGACTCACCCTCAGCTGTGATGCATCACCCCAGCAGAATTACATGCTACGTTGTCTTGTGTAGAGAGCAAGACCTAAAAACCGTGCTCAGAAAGAAGGCTCTATGAAACTAGATGAGACAGGGGTTGCTGTATGGAGGAAGCAGATTTGAATCAGGTCTTGAACTTGGACATAAAATGGAAGAGGGGGATTCCAGCCAAGGGGATCAGCAGGGACACAGTTCTGGACAGAAATGTATATGTGAGAAGAGATCTATAAGCAAGGAGTTGGACCCGAGATGCCATCTTTTTGTTGACACAAGAAGCCAGGACCATGTTTCCATAGCCTGGGATGGGGGGCCAGCGAATCCAGCTGGCAAGAGCTCCTGCTGTGAGATGACATTGAACTACATCGTGAAAAAGTTATTTTCCTTTCCTTTTTTTTTTTTCCAATCCTGATGATGATGTTGAGGAGAAAGGCTCAGTTTGGTGCTAAGATATTGTTAACACCTAATACTTGCTGATCTCCCTTTTAACATAGAGACCAGGGCTCCAGCTAGGACCTTCAGCAGACAACATCTTTCCACAATTAATAAAAGAATACAGCCTTCACTGTTGCCTATTTAGGCAGGCAAAGCCAATGGCTGGTGACCTGCAATTTTCTTTTAAATAAATAAATGTGAATACAAATGCAAGCTGATTGCTTTTTAATGATAAGTCTATAAACTTTGGTTTGGTAAGGAGGGTGGGCAAAGTGGATAAAATTAATGATGGCTGGAAGAAGACTGGAATCGGGATTCTGTAGTGCATTCTTTTTTTTTTTTTTTTCTTTTTTTGAGATGGGAGTCTTGCTCTGTTGCCAGGCTGGAGTGCAGTGGTGTGATCCCGGCTCACTGCAACCTCTACCTCCCGAGTTCAAGCGATTCTCCTCAGCCTCCCGAGTAGCTGGGACTACAGGCACCCCCCACCACAGCCAGCTAATTTTTGTATTTTTAGTAGAGACAGGGTTTCACCATGTGTGCCAGGATGGTCTCCATCTCTTGTCCTCGTGATCCGCCTGCCTTGGCCTCCCAAAGTGCTGGGATTATAGGCATGAGCCACCATGCCTGGCCTGTAGTGCATTCCTTTTTTTTTTTTTTTTTTTTTGAGATGGAGTCTCGCTCTGTCGCCCAGGCTGGAGTGCAGTGGTGTGATCTTGGCTTACTGAAACCTCTGCCTCCCAGGTTCAAGCGATTCTTCTGCCTCAGCCTCCCAAGTAGCTGGGATTACAGGCGTGCGCCACCACACCCAGCTGACTTTTTGTATTTTTGTAGAGACGGGGTTTCACTGTGTTGGCCAGGCTGGTCTCAAACACCTGACTTCCTGATCCACCCGCCTCGGCCTCCCAAAGTGCTGGGATTATAGGCATGAGCCACCGCGCCCGGCGTCTAGTGCATTCTTAAAGGGAAACAAGGTCTGATGTTTCCGTGGAAATGACTGGCTGCAAAAGAACTCTTTGGAAGACTGGCTCAAGTCAATATTATTTAAAAGTCTCCAGCTAGAAAGAGATTCTTTCCTTCAGCATGGTGGCATGGGAGCTCCCACCCCCTCCACCGTTTTCCTCACACCATAGTTCTGGTGGAGGAACAGAGCACGGCCCATCCCTTCCGACCGCTGCTCCATTGGCCCTGGGGACCTTGGCACGGAGGTAATCTACCCTGAGCCTCAAGCAGCTGTCGCCCTGGGTGGCGCCATGTTTAGTATGTTCCCACAGCGCAAGTCCCGCCCTGATGCCGGGTGTTCCCCTCTCTCCACCACAGGTCTGCCATCACCATATTCCCCCAGAGGACAGACGGCAAGCACGACTTCCGAGTCTGGAACTCCCAGCTCATCCGCTACGCTGGCTACAAGCAGCCTGACGGCTCCACCCTGGGGGACCCAGCCAATGTGCAGTTCACAGAGGTGCGAGCGTTTCCGCCCCCTACCCTGCCCCAACATGGGCTCTTATGTCCCCAGACCACAGACTTTTTCGGGCTTAATGCTATCATCACAGGAGATCCGCTGATGGGGTCATTTACTCTTCTCCAAACCTGCTTCTCCATCAGGCTGTTCCCCAATCTAATTCTTTTACAGCTGGACATTTGGTCACTTTCATGCCATTACCTCACTCAGCCCTCCTGATGGGAACTGTTCTCCCATTTCACAGATGGGTAGACCGAGTCTCACCAAGGCCAAGTGAGTTACTCAAGACTGCCAAATGAGTAGAGAAGAAAAGCTAGAACTACAGTCCAAATCTCCTGCCTCTCACCAGGAAGGGAAGAGCCGAGAAATGGAAGCCATATCTGGCATCCACCTTTTCTGAGTTACGAGATAATGTCAGTTTCATTTCATTCCTTCATTTGTTGATACAACAATTTGAGCCACCCAAGCCTTTGAGTAGGCTTGACTTTGTCTGTCACCAGCATCACTACAGTTACTGGTAGCCCAAGTCAATTCATAAAAGCCACCAGGAAAGTGACTACCACCATCTCCCTGCCCAGAGTTCCTTCCAGGTGGTAGTGCGGGCAGGTAGCACAGGTAAGATATGGTAGCTTATACGGACCATGCCCACATGACAGCACAAGCACATCCCGTGTCTAGAATGATCTCAGGCACACAGGCCTGCTACCACCTTTCCTTTATCACCCAAATAATACCCCGCTGAATTTCACCGTCGTCCTTTGCTCAAGCCCCTCCCGGGTGGTACCTCCTTGAAGATGTAGCTGGCAAGGCTAAGGGCTGCTCCACTCCCTCCTGGCTGCCGACTTCATTTGCATGTGGCTTTTCTTATGAAAATGTTATTCTCATGAGGAGGGGACTGTAACCAGGGCAACCAGGAGCTGCACCTGTGCTGTTTTAGAAGCAGCCAGGCTCAGACTCCCTGCTCCACTTGGCTGAGCACTAACTGTGTGTACTTGGCTGACCTTGTCCTCGTGGTCACCAGAACATAAATGCCCCAACCTCTTCCTCTCGCTCCATCTCTGGAAACCTTGCTGAGCGGGACATGTTCTCCTGTTCCATGATTTGGTGTTTCCTCTTTTTACTAAGCACAAAGAATCATTCCAAACCTAACCATGCAATTTTACCTTTTGAAACCCTCTAACCCTGCCCTGTCTAATAGGGACACATGTGGCTATTGATCACTTGAAATGTGGCCAGTCCCAGTTGAGATGTGCCATAAGAGAAAATATACACTGGATCTCGAAGTCTGGGTCCAAAAAAGAGAGGGAAATAACTCATTGATCTTGGTTTGTTTTTTTTGGTTTTTTTTTTGTTTTTTGAGATGGAGTCTCACTCTGTTGCCAGGCTGGAGTGCAGTGGTGCAATCTCAGCTCACTGCAACTCTGAGTTCAAGCAATTCCCCTGCCTCTGCCTCCTGAGTAGCTGGGACTACAGATGCGCACCACCACGCCCGGCTAATTTTTTGTATTTTAGTAGAGATAGGGTTTCACCATGTTGGCCAGGATGCTCTCAATATCCTGACCTCATGATCCGCCCACCTCTGCCTCCCAAAGTGCTGGGATTACAGGCGTGAGCCACCGCGCCCGGCCCATTGATCATTTTTAATGTTGAAATAGTAATAATATGGATACATTAGGGTAATATATTTATTAACAAATTAATAGATTCACTGGATTAATAAGTATATTTTTATTTTTAATGTTAAATATATTATTTAAATACACTCATATTGATAATTTATTATTAATAAATTAATGTTGATATTTAATGTATTATTTGATATATTAGATGAATAAGTGTTACATATTTAATTTTAATGTCAAATATATAATTAGAATATATGATAGTAATATTTAATATACTATTAATAAATTAATATTAATATCAAGGACATTATTGAACTTTAAGATGAGTATATTATTAATATTATTTTCTCCCATGATTTGAAGAAGCCTAGCAAAAAAAAGATAAAATCAAAATTATTTTCACCAGTTGTTTTTTTTTTCTAATGTGGCTACTAGAAAGTTTTAATTACTTAGGTGGCTTGCATTATATTTTTATTGGACAGCTGCTCTAACAAATGCATTTTATACTGTAATTCTAATACATCTGCCTTCATCAAATTCAGCAGATTTTCTTTGTATCTTACAATACCTTATATTATTACAAACACAGAGCTGGCAGCCTGCAGATGCACTTGTTAGTCAGGTTCAGCCCTTGCCCTCTGGGAATTCCAGTGGGCAGGGAAGACCTGGAAAACAAAGCTCAGTACTAGAGGAAGGGTTTGCCCTCTGTCCTGTGGGCCCATGAGAACTCATGCTAGTTACTAGGTTAGTGCAAAAATAATTGTGGTTTTTGCTATTGAAAGTAATGGCAAAACCCGCAATTACTTTTGCACCAACCTAATACATGGTGATGTCAGGGAGAACTCTATAAAGCAGGTGATGTGGTCCAAGAGCCTCCAGAGGAAATGTCTCCTGGGGGCTTGCATTTGGATCTCTATCCACCCCACCCCCGCTTCCCACATAAGGGTTGTGTTTGTAGGGTGTGGGGTACAGTGGCATTACCTGGCCGGGTCTGCTTGCAGATATGCATACAGCAGGGCTGGAAACCGCCTAGAGGCCGCTTCGATGTCCTGCCGCTCCTGCTTCAGGCCAACGGCAATGACCCTGAGCTCTTCCAGATTCCTCCAGAGCTGGTGTTGGAAGTTCCCATCAGGCACCCCAAGTAAGAGGGACTGGCAAGGGGTGGGAGAGGGTGAGTGGGTTTGCCCAGTGCCCCTCTTTGCCCAGCCCCATCCCCCCTGGCTTTCTTTCTAGTCCAGACCGAAGCTGAAAGGGGAAAGGGGGGCTTGGTTCCTGTCCTCACTGCGGGCTTGGGCAGAGTGAGTTCCCTCAAGGAGCAAAAAGACCTCTTTGACCAGCCTGGGGACCACCACCTTTTCTGAATCATCTCACTCCTAAGCCATTAACAAGGACCTGCCCTTCTTCCAGCCCTAAGCATTGAAAGAGCAGAAGCACCATACTTTCTTGTTGCGAGCACACTTTTTATTTTCCTGTTCCTTTTTCTTTTTCTTTTTCTTTCTTTTTTTTGAGACAGGGTCTGCTGCTGTTGCCCAGGCTGGAGTGCAGTGGCACAAACATGACTCATTGCAGCCTCGACCTGCTGGGCTCAAGTGATCCTCCCACCTCAACCCCTGCAAGTAGCTGGGATTATAGGGTTACAGCCACACACCACCATGCTTGGCCAATTTTTGTGTTTTTAGTAGAGACGGGGTTTTGCCATATTGTCCAGGCTGGTCTTGGACTCCTGGGCTCAAGTGATCCTCCCACCTCAGCCTCCCAAAGTGCTGGCATTACAGGCATGAGCCACTGTACCTGACCCACATTTTCAATTGAGAGAACTGTTTAAAACTCTATAGGATCTGATGATCAAGATAGAGTTGTAAACAGTTCTCTCAATTGAAATGCAAATCAAAACCACAATGAGATAGCATCTCACCTCAGTTACAATGGCTTATCCGAAAGACAGGCAATAACAAACGCTGGTGAAGATGTAGAGAAAAGGGAACCCTTGTACACTGTTGGTGGCAATGTAAATTAGTACAACCACTATGGAGAAGAGTTTGGAGATCCTCAAAAAACTAAAAATTGAGCTACCATATGATCCAGCAATCCCACTGCTGGGTATATACCCAAAAGAAGGGAAATCAGTATATCGAAGAGATATCTGTACCCTTTTGTTTGTTGCAGCACTGTTTACAATAGCTGCAACGCTAAGGAAGCAACTTAAGTGTCCATCAACAGATGAATAGATAAAGAAAATGTGGCACAGATACACAATGAAGTACTATACAGCTGCAAAAAAGAATGAGATCCAGTCATTTGTAACAACATGGATGGAACTGGAGATCATTATGTTAAGTGAAATAAGGCAGTCAGAGAAAGACAAACATCACATGTTCTTAGTTATTTGTAGGATCTAAAAATGAAAACAATAGAGCTCATGGGCATAAAGAGTAGAAGGATGGTTACCAGAGGCTGGGAAGGGGTAGTGGAGGGGGTGAGGGGAAGATGGGGGCGGTTAAGAGGTAGAAGAAAGAAATAGAGGCATGGTGGCTCACGCCTGTAATTCCAGCACTTTGGGAGGCCGAAGCAGAAGGATCACCTGAGGTCAAGAGTTCAAGGCCAGCCTGGCCAACATGGCAAAACCCTATCTCTACTAAAAATACAAAAATTCCCTGGGCATGGTGGCACATGCCTGTAATCCCAGCTACTTGGGATGCTGAGGCAGGAGAATCACCTGAACCTGGGAAGCAGAGGTTGCAGTGAGCCCAAGTTGTGCCAGTGCACTCCAGCCTGGGCAACAGAGCAAGACCCCATCTCAAAAAAAAAATAGTTAGAAAGAATGAATACAACCTATTATTTGATAGCACAACAGGGTGACTATAGTCAATAATAACATAATTGTATGTTTTAAAATAAACAGTGGAATTGGATTCTTTGTAACTCGAAGGATAACTGCTTGAGGGGATGGATACCCCATTCTCCATGATGTGCTTATTTCACATTACAGGCCTGTATCAAAACATTTCATGTACCCCATAAGTACATGCACCTACTATGTACCCACAAAAATTAAAGATAATAATTAAAAAACTCTACAGAACCTGGTGTGGATCAAGTTCAAAAGGAATTTGGAGTCATGAAGTTGCTGCAAGGTCTCGGGCCAGCAACACAAACAGCATTTGCCCTTTGAGAGTAAAGGACATCCACCGTGAGGCACTAGACTCAAACCTGGGAATGAATAAAATCAAGGGGAGTTGCTAACACACTCGATAATAAGATAAATATAAGAATGCAATATTTTTTAAATCAAAATTAATGTTTCATTTTATTTTTCTAATTGATGTCTAATAAGTGCATATATTCATGAGATATATAATGATGTTTTAATACATATAATGTATAGTGATCAGATCAGTATAATTAATACACCCATTGTCTCAAACGCTTATCCTTTGTATTGGAAACATTCACTATCCTTTCTTCTAGCTATTTGAAAATGTATATTAATGTTAACTATAGTCATCCTACAGTGGTGTAGAACAGTACAACTTATTCCTTTCTAGCTATAATTTTGTATCCTTTAACAAATCACTCCCCATTCTCCCTTCTCCCTCCTCCTCCCAGCCTCCAGCATCCTCTGTTCCACTTTTTACTTCCATGAGATCAACTTTTTTTGTAGCTTCTACCTATGAGTGAGAATATTCAGTGTTTAACTTTCAGTTCCTGGTTCATTTCACTTAACATAACGTCCTCCAGTTCTATCTATGTTGCTGTGAGTGACATGGTTTCATTCTTTTTTATGGCTGAATGGTATTCCAGTGTGGGGAGAGAGAGAGAGAGAGAATTAATTTGGAGTTCATGACTCCAAATTTCTTTTGAACTTGATCCACACCAGACCTGGTAGAGTTTTTTTTTAATTATTACTTTTAATTTTTGTGGGTAGATAGTAGGTGTATATATATATGTGTGTATATATTTATGCGGTACATAAGACGTTTTGATATGGGCATGCAATGTGAAATAAGCACATCATGGAGAATGGGGTATTTATCCCCTCAAACATTTATCCTTTGAGTTACAAACAATTAAATTACACTCTTTAAGTTATTTTGAAATATACAATTGTGTTATTATTGACTGTAGTCAGTATATATAACATATCACACATTTTCTTTATATCACACAGTATATATAAAATATCACACATTTCTTTATCCATTCATCCGTTGTTAGACACCTAGGTTGATTCCATATCTTGGCTACTGTGAATAGTGCTTCAATAAACACAGGGTTGTAGGTATCACTTTGACATGTTAATGTCCTTTCTTTTTTTTTTTTTTTTTTTTTTGTGAGACGGAGTGTCACTCCAGCCCAGGCTGGAGTGCAGTAGCGCCATCTTGGCTCACTGCAACCTCCACCTCCCAGGTTCAAGCCATTCTCCTGCCTCAGCCTCCCAAGTAGCTGGGATTACAGGCACGAACCACCACGCCCAGCTAAGTTTTTGTATTTTTAGTAGAGACGGGGTTTCACCATGTTGGTCAGGCTGGTCTTGAACCCCTGACCTCAAATGATCCACCTGCCTCGGCCTCCTAAAGTGCTAGGATTACAGGTGTGAACCACTGCGCCCAGCCTGATTTCCTTTCCTTTGGATAAATGCCCACTGGTGGGATTGCTGGATCTCGTGGTAGTTCTATTTGCAGTTTTTTGAGGATCTGCCATACCGTTCTGCATACTCCGGTACTAGCCTATATTCCCACCAACAGTGTATGAGAGTTCCCTTTTCTCTGCAACCTTGCCAGCATTTGTTATTTTTTGTCTCTTTATAATTGCCGTCCTAACTGTGATGAAATGTTATCTTATTGTGGGTTTCGTTTGCATATCCCTGATGTTGAGTGAAGCTGAGCATTTCTTCCTGTATTTGTTGGTTATCTATCTTCTTTGGAGAAATGTCTGTTCAGAGCAAGTGCCCATTTTTTAATCCAATTGTTTGGGTTTTTTGCTTTTGAAATGTGTGAGTTCCTTGTATATTCTGGATATTAATCCCTTGGTGGATGAATAGTTTTCAGATATTTTCCCCCATTCTTTAGGTTGTCTTTTCACTCTGTTGCTTGTTTCTTTGCTCTGCAGACGTTTGTTAGTTTAATATAATCCTGTGTGTTTATTTTTGCTTTTGTTGCCTGGGCTTTTGAGGTCTTATTCATAAAATCTTTTCCCAGACCAATTTCCCTGATGTTTTCTTCTAGTAGTTTTATAGTTTCTGGTCTCAAAGTTAATTTTTTTAAAAAACAGCACATGATGAACAATATATCAACATTTTCAATAAAGATAGGATCCAGCTCAGGACTGAGATTAGGGTCAGATGAACGAGGTGTCATACAAGTGTAGGGTGGAATCCTACATTATTGTTCATCATATATATACATAAATTTTGATTTTTTAAATGTTTCTTTAAAATATTGTATAAATAAATAATAGCATTGATCCTAATTATTGGGTTTTTATTAGGTTGATGCAAAAAGTAACTGTGGTTTTTGCCATTACTTTTAATGGCAAAAGTAAACTTAAGAGGGGGAAACTATTCAGTTGGTGCAAAAGTAATTGCAAAACCACAGCTACTTTTGCATCAACCTAATAGCTCCCCCCACTTAAATTTTACACCCAAGGATAGTGCCACACCTGCCTCACCCTAGTCCCAGCCTTGGAGAGGGAGCCGGTGTCCTGAGGCTCCTGACACTGCCTGATATCTGGGAACTCACCCAGTTCCTTGGTGAAATGTAGCCTATATTTATTCATTCATTTATTGGCTCATCCAACACAGTTCCCCATGCATGCCAGGCATTGTGCTAGCTTTTGGAGCTGACTCAATCCCTGCCCCCACGGTGCTTATGATCTCAAGGAAGAGAAGTTCTTACACACATAATTACTCAAATAACCACTTAATTTTAATAAAGTGCTGCAAAGGAAATGTATGGTGCCTAGGATGAAATCCCCTGACCAGCTGGGCCTCAGGGAAGGCTTTCCAGAATAAGCATGATTTTAGCTGACAATTAAAGTATGAGTAAGAGCTGGAAGCACAGAAGGAAGGGAGAAGGTCCCAGGAGGAAGCCTGCATGACAGAGCGAGACTGCATTCCCCTACCCCCCAAAAAAAAGAAAGAAAGAAGAAGTTTGGGTGACAGAGTTTGGCTCTGAAGTTTGGCTGCCTGTGCAAAGGCCCTGAGGGTAGGAGGGTGCTCAGTCGGGGAAGGGGGAGAGAGGTCCCCACACTTTCTCCTGGACTCACTTTCAGGGTGGGTTTGAGAGAGAAACAGCAGCCTAAGGCAGTAGTTTCCAGGCCTGAATATCCATCCGAAGCACCTGAGAAATACGTTAAAAATGCACATTCTCAGGCCCCCAGCTGCAGAACCTGCAATTCCACAGATCTGAAGCAGGGCCCAGGAACCATATTCTGACCTTGTCAGTCCCAGTCCATCCTTGGCATTTCAGCATCTCTAGATTCAAGCTGTCCCGCCCATGAGACACCTGCTCCGGGTGAGCTGGGCCCTGTTGCTCCCTGCAGGTTTGAGTGGTTCAAGGACCTGGGGCTGAAGTGGTACGGCCTCCCCGCCGTGTCCAACATGCTCCTAGAGATTGGCGGCCTGGAGTTCAGCGCCTGTCCCTTCAGTGGCTGGTACATGGGCACAGAGATTGGTGTCCGCGACTACTGTGACAACTCCCGCTACAATATCCTGGAGGTAAGGGCCCTCTCTGGTCACCACAGGGGAAAAGCACATAGCAGAGGGTGCCAGCTCAGCAGTCCCCTTCCCCACGGCGAGCTTGGTGGCTTGGAAACTTGAAGGGGTTAGAATAGAATTGCAATCCCAGAGAAGCCCCTGGAAATGCCAGGGGCATCCATGTCTTTAACAACAATGAAAATAACAGCAAACACGCACATAGCACATAGCACGTGCTAACAGCATCCGAAGCACTGTTGCTGTGTTCCATTCTCATTTCATCCTCACCTGAACCTTGAGGTATGAGAATCCCCCTTCGACAGATGACAAGCTCAAGGTCACACAGCTAGCCGGCAGCAGGGCTGGGAAATGTGTCTGGTTTGACTTCATGCTCCAAGTTCATTACCACTCCACTCCGCTGCCTCTCGGTCTTAAATCTTGTTAGAAGAGCTTGAGGATGACTGACAAACTCGGGACATATTTAGTGTCTTTTCTAAAAAACAAGGGAGGAGGGTTGGCAGTGGTTCCCCACTCTAAGCATTTCTCGGCAGAGGGTCTGATTCCCTCCCGGGCTGAGTCATCCGTATCTACTAAAAAGTGCTGGAGCGGTGCTTCCTGAAGCCCAACTTTGGTGAAAGCATCATGATTGCTGTGTTTTTGTCAGCAAATGTCTCTAACAACACTCTGCTGCTGTTGGATTTGTTTCAAAAGAGGGCACTGAGAAACAGAGAAGTTAAGCACTGGGCCTGTGTCACACAGGAGCTAAGGCACAGAACCAAGATTAGAACCCAGAACCGAGCATCAGGTTTGTGCTGTTAAAAATCCACCGGTTGGCTGGGCGCGGTGGCTCATGCCTGTAATCCCAGCACTTTGGGAGGCCGAGGCAGGCTGATCACAGCCTGGAGTTCGAGACCAGCCTGACCAACTTGGTGAAACCCCGTCTCTACTAAAAATACAAAAATTAGCCAGGCATGATGGCTTGCGCCTATAATCCCAGCTACTCAGAAGGCTGAGCCAGGAGAATCGCTTGAACCAGGGAGGCAGAGGTCGCAGTGAGCCGAGATTGCGCCACTGTACTCCAGCCTGGGCAACAGAGCGAGTCTCCATCTCAAAGAAAAAAAAAAAAAAGCCACCGGTATCACTGTGGAAAACAGATGCCAGGGATCCTCAGCTTTGCCACACATCGGAGGGTATCTGGGGGGCTTCGTGATGCCTGGATCCCATTCATCGGGGTTCTGATGTCATAGGTCTGGGGTGGGCCCTGGGTATCTGCATTTTGCAAAGTTCCCCAGGAGATTCTTCTGGACAACCACTGATGCAATGCAAACTTTTTTCTTTCTTTCTTTTTGGAGGGGTGGGTAGGGGAATGGAGTCTCGCTCTGTCACCCAGGCTTGAATGCAGTGGTGCGATCTTGGCTCACTGCAACCTCCACCTCCTGGGCTTAAGCAATTCTCCTGTCTCAGCCTCCCAAGTAGCTGGGACTACAGGTACACACCACCACACCTGGCTAATTTTTTTAATTATTATTTTTAGTAGAGATGAGGTTTCACCATGTTGGCCAGGCTAGTCTCGAACTCTTGACCTCAGATGATCCACCCGCCTTGGCCTCCCAAAGTGCTGGGATTACAGGGGTGAGCCACCACGCCCAGCCTAAACAACCACCAATGTGTGCAAACTTCTAGCAGGAAGGAAAAAATGTTTCAGGCAGTTTTCTTAGATGTGGCTCAAGTTGCACTTGGGGATTTTTTTTAAGGGTTTCTTTTTTCCCTGCAATTAATTTCTATTCTTTTAACCAAATAATGCTATAGAATAACAATAGCATTGTTCTTCTATACATACTTTCCTCTGTGTGTGTATACTTTCCTCTGTCATACACTCCAGTTTTATATGTATTTATGGAAAGCAGCATCAAATTTCTTACTTCCCACAAATGTGTCGCTGATAGAGACCCCAAGCAGAAACTAATGCCTCAGCCTCAAAGAGTGAGTTAATAAGTCTGCTCTCTGATCTCTGTCTACATTTCAGTTGCAAAGAGTAGTCTCTGGGTAACTGAAATGAGCCTCTCTCCCACCCCGACCCTCCAATTCCACCTGTCATTATGTACAAACGTTGATAGCTGGGTCTAGGAGCAGTTTACCCAAACCAAAGAAATTGCTGCATTTTAGCCCCATAATGAGACCTGGGTTCCCACCAGTGACTAGTATTGACAGAGGAAGTGAAAAGCAGGGCTTTAATTAATGCACTTGCTATTGGGTCTTCCCTGCTCCTGACACCAGCTCCTGCTTCTGCCTTGGCTGTAACATGCATGTCATGAGTTCTTTTTTTGCAAGTAATTTTGCCACAGGCGTCAGCTGCTTAGAGAGCAGCTCCAAGGTCTTAGACGTTAGGCATCTCCCTGGGCTCCACCTCTGAGACTAGCTGGTTCTGTGGACGTTGGACAAGTCCAGGCACCTCTCTGAGCCTCAGTTTCCCCATGTGTCAGATGGAGTCTGGCAGGGGCCTCATGAGCTCAGAGCACCCATGGCCTAGATGCTAGGTCATGACCACTCTGGGGGTAGAGTAGGATAGATGAAGAGCTTTTCCTGCTAGAAAGCAGATGATGCACTCACAGACCTACATCTCTGTTAAAATGCTCCAGAGGCCGGGTGCAGCGGCTCACGCCTGTAATCCCAGCACTTTGGGAGGCCGAGGTGGGTGGATCACGAGGTCAAGAGATCGAGACCATCCTGGCCAACATGGTGAAACCCCATCTCTACTAAAATTACAAAACTTAGCTGGACATGATGGTGTGCACCTGTAGTCCCAGCTACTTTGGGAGGCTGAGGCAGGAGAATCACTTAAACCCAGGAAGCGGAGGTTGCAGTGAGCCGAGATCACGACACTGCACTCCAGCCTGGCGACAGAGTGAGACTCTGTCTAAAAAAAAAAAAAAAAAAAAAACAAATCTCCAGAGATCCTGCCCCCTGGGCCCGTCACATCTGGAATAACATCCTGACTCCTTGGCATGTCTTTCAAGATCTTACACCAGCTAGTCCTGTCTCACTCCCACCAATTACCCCTTATGTACCACCCTCCAAACACCCTCTGGTCTTCTTTCCATATCTAAGATAGCCCAAGCCTGATCCCACCCCAGGGCTTTGCTCTTGCTGCCCCCTCTGCCTAGAGCACTCTCTCCCCAGATCTGCGAATATCTGGCTTCTTCTCATCACTTAGGGCTCACCTTGCATGCTGTCTCCACAGTGGGCCTTCCCTGACTACCCTAGCTGAATTAGCCCAGCCCCCATATCCCTCTTCATCCCATTTCCTTATTTTCTTCCTAAGAATTAGTACCTACCACTGTATTAAGTATCTCTCTCTTCCCCATTAGAACACAAGATTAGTAATTAAAGGGCCAGCCGAGTCTCTAGTTTCCTGCTGCTGGTAGGTTCTCGATAAAAATTTTAACTTTTTAAATTTTTTAACATTTTTATTTCATACCTAGTCCAACAGATCAATAAAAAATTTTTGAGGCTGGGCGCGGTGGCTCACGCCTGTAATCCCAGCACTTTGGGAGGCCAAGGCGGGTGGATCATGAGGTCAGGAGATCGAGACCATCCTGGCTAACACGGTGAAACCCCCTCTCTACTAAAAATACAAAAAAAAAAAAAATTAGCCCGGCGTGGTGGCGGCCGCCTGTAGTCCCAGCTACTCAGGAGGCTAAGGCAGGAGAATGGCATGAACCCAAGAGGCGGAGCTTGCAGTGAGCCAAGATCGTGCCACTGCACTCCAGCCTGGGTGACAGAGCAAGACTCCGTCTCAAAAAAAAAAAAAAAAAATTGAATGAGTGAGTTCATTAGTCTGTGAATGAGTTGATTAATTAATTAAGAAATTCTTGGCCAGGCAAGGTGCCTCACGCCTGTAATCCCAGCACTTTGGGAGGCCAAGGTGGGTGGATCACTTGAGGCCAGGAGTTTGAGACCAGTCTGGCCAACATGGTGAAACCCCGTCTCTACTAAAAATACAAAAACTTAGCCAGGCATAGTGGCAGAAGCCTGTAGTCCCAGCTACTCAGGAGGCTGAGGCAGGAGAATCGCTTGAATGCAGGAGGCAGAGGTTGCAGTGAGCCAAGATCACACCACTGCACTCCAGCCTGTGCGACAGAGCGAGAGTCCATTTAAAAAAAAAGAAAAGAAATTATTTCACGCCACTAGCCCTGTCCCTCTTCAATCTGAAATCCAGAGATACCCCAGCCTGTATATCTGTGTTTCCTTCCTCTTTCAGGAAGTGGCCAAGAAGATGAACTTAGACATGAGGAAGACGTCCTCCCTGTGGAAGGACCAGGCGCTGGTGGAGATCAATATCGCGGTTCTCTATAGCTTCCAGGTAACACCAGGGCCCGCACCACCAGGGTCAAGCTTCAAATGAGAGTTCAAACCTTTCAGAGCCTTGATGCAGAGGATCAAGAGACCTCACTGCCAGAAACCACCTTTGCGGGGATTGTGTCCATGAGTATGGTCTAGCTTCCATCCTGCATGCCCTCCTCTCCAGTGTGGATCTTGGGTGGGGACCATTTGATGAAGAGATGAACAAATGGTGGCAGGGGTAGAGGAGTGTTCTGTCTTGTTGCTTAGAGTTCTTTAGAATTCAAACAAGAGGCATCCTCTCTGTCTTGTCATCTCTTAGGGCCTCAGACTATCACATAACAGAGACAAATACTCTTCAACATCATCAGAGACATATAGGCTCCTAAATAAATGCATGAGGCTGTGCTAAATGGCATTATAGCAGGATGGCTGGAAAATGTATCAACTAAGCCACAACACTTTTTTTTTTTTTTTGAGATGGAGTTTCACTCTTGTCGCCCAGACTAGAGTGCAGTGGCACAATCTCGACTCACTGCAACCTCCACCTCCCGGGTCCAAGCAATTCTCCTGCCTCAGCCTCCTGAGTAGCTGGGATTACAGATGCCCACCACCGCGCCCAGCTAATTTTTGTATTTTTAGTAGAGGTGGGGTTTCACCATGTTGGCCAGGCTGGTCTTGAACTCCTGACTTCAGGTGATTCACCTGCCTCGGCCTCCCAAAGTGCTGGGATTACAGGCGTGAATCACGCCTGGCCACCACAACACTTTTGAGAGCCAGAGGGCGACACTAGTAATAACTATGCCAGGACAATGGGCATCACTAGGATTCTCCTGGGCCAACCAGGAGATCTAGAAACTAGAAGTTGCTCTCTATAATAGGGACCATCACTGTCCTCTGGGGGCTTCCAGTCTAGGCAGCTAGACCCCCGTAGATGCACGTGAGAGGCACACACAGCCAGCAGAATGAATGTGTTAAATCAAGCCATGGATGGATAGGAATAGAAGCCATAGGTCCCCATGTCAGATGTGGATGGAGTGGGTGCACTGAGGAATGTCAAAGGGAAGGGACAAGTTGAGACAGGGCAAGAGGGAAGGAGGCCACCTCCCTTCTCCTTTAACCATGGAGAATGAGGTTTCAGGAGTGTGGCATGTGGCCTGATGGACTGGTATGAAGTCTGTCAAGCCAGAGACAACAGGGATGTAATTGAGATGAACAATGAAAACTAGCCAGGCGCCGTGGCTCACACCTGTAATCCCAGCACTTTGGGAGGTCGAGGAGGGTGGATCATTTGAGGTCAGGAGTTCAAGAGCAGCCTGGCCAACATGGTGAAGCCCATCTCTGCTAAAAATACAAAAATTAGCCGGGCAGTAGTGGCATGTGCCTGTAATCCCAGCTACTCAGGAGGCTGAGGCAGGAGAATCACTTGAGCCTGGAAGATAGAGGTTGCGGCGAGCCGAGATTGCACCACTGCACTCCAGTCTGGGCGACAGAGTGAGACCCTATCTCAAAAAAAAAAAGAAAAGAAAAAAAAAACCTAAAAGAAGTCATTATACAAAAAAGATACTTGCACACACATGTTTATAACAGCACAATTCGCAATTGCTAAAAATGTGGAACCAACCGAATTCATGGCATTCGCAGCAACCTGGATGGGAATGGAGACTATTATTCTAAGTGAAGTAACTCAGGAATGAAAAACCAAACATCGTATGTTCTCACTCATTAGTGGGAGCTAAGCTACGAGGACGCAAAGGCCTAAGAATGACACAGTGGACTTTGGGGACTCGGGGAAAGGGTGGGAAGGGGGTGAGGGATAAAAGACTACAAATTGTGTGCAGTGTATACTGCTCGGGCGATGGGTGCACCAAAATCTCACAAATCACCACTAAAGAACTTACTCATGTCACCAAGCACCACCTGTTCCCCAAAAGCCTATAAAAATTAAAAAATAGAAAAAGAAAAAGGCCGGGCACGGTGGCTCACACCTGTAATCCCAGCACTTTGGGAGGTGGAGGCGGGTGGATCACGAGGTCAGGAGATCGAGACCATCCTGGCTAACACGGTGAAACCCCGTCTCTACTAAAAAATACAAAAAAAAAAAAAATTAGCCAGGCGTGGTGGCGGGCGCCTGTAGTCCCAGCTACTCGGGAGGCTGAGGCAGGAGAATGGTGTGAACCCGGGAGGCAGAGCTTGCAGTGAGCCAAGATCGCGCCACTGCACTCCAGCCTGGGTGATAGAGCAAGACTCCGTCTCAAAAAAAAGAAAAAGAAAGAAAGAAAGAAAAAAAAGATGGGGGTGGGATGGGAGAGAGGAAGATTGGCAAGATCGACACGAAAGGTGTTAAAGACACAATAGCACCCAACGAAGACTTTCTCCTGGGTCTAAGTGGAAGGACTGGACAAGAAATGCAGAGAGAATCACCATCTCACTTCACGCTGCTCTAAACCATCTCAGGGACCACCCTTTGGGAAATGCTGCTCTTTGGGGCAGGGAGTCCCAAAATACCCCAGCTTCTCATACCTCCTGACCCCTGTCCCCTCTCCTCCCACAGAGTGACAAAGTGACCATTGTTGACCATCACTCCGCCACCGAGTCCTTCATTAAGCACATGGAGAATGAGTACCGCTGCCGGGGGGGCTGCCCTGCCGACTGGGTGTGGATCGTGCCCCCCATGTCCGGAAGCATCACCCCTGTGTTCCACCAGGAGATGCTCAACTACCGGCTCACCCCCTCCTTCGAATACCAGGTCCTTCCCTGTCCCTGCCTCTTTTCATATTAAGTGTCCTGTATCTGGTGTGTGTGTCACATTTAGGCTCATTTCAACCCAGGCTAGTGCTCTGGACACTCAATAGCCACATGTGGCTGGTGGCTACCATATTGCACAGGTCTAGCTGAAAGAACAAGAGAGACTATATGAGGCCGACATGATGGCTCATGCCTATAATCCCAGTGATTTGGGAGGTTGAGGTGGGAAGGTGGCTTGAGGCCAGGAGTTTGAGACCACCCTGGGGAATATAGTGAGACCCCATCTCTAAATTTTTTTTTTTTTTTAATTAGCAGGCTGGGCATGGTGGGTCACACCTGTGATCCCAGCACTTTGGGAGGCCAAGGCAGGTGGATCACCTGAGTCAGGAGTTCGAGACCAGCCTGGCCAACATGGCGAAACCCCATCTCTACTAAAAATACAAAAAATTAGCCTGGCGTATGCCAGCTGCTCAAGAGGCCAAGATAAGAGAATCGCTTGAACCCAGGAGGTGGAGGTTGCAGTGAGCCGATATCAAGCCACTGAACTCCAGCCTGGGCAACAAGAGTGGGACAAAAAGAAAGAGAGAAAGAGAGAGAGGGAAAGGGAGAGGGAGAGGGGGAGATGGGGAGGATGAAGAGGGGGAGAGGGAGAGAGTGTAGAGGGAAAGAGGGAGAGGGGGGAAAGGGAGAGAGAGAGGGAGAGAAGGGGAGGGAGGGAGGGAAGGAAGGAAAAGAAGGAAGGAAGGGAAGAAAGGAAGGAAGAAGGGAAGGGAGGGAGGAAGGAAGGAAGGAAAGGAAGGAAGGGAGAGAGAGAGAGAAAGAAAGAGAAAGAAAGGAAAGAAAGAAAGAAAATAAAGAAAGAAAATAAATAAGAAAATTAGCTGAGTGTGGTGGCATATACCTGTAGTCCCAGCTATTTGGGAGGCTGAGTTAGGAGGATCCCTTGAGCTAGGGAGGTCAAGGCTGCAGTGAGCTATGATCACACCACTGCACTCCTGCCTGGGCAGCAGAGTGAGACCCCTGTCTCTTAAGAGAGAGAAAGAGGGATGAAATGAGAGTGAGTAGTCAGGGGTCACAAGAACAGAGTTTGAGAGGGACTGGGGGCCAAGGGGAAAGAGCTAGCAGGACACTGCCAAGGCCAGACCACCCACTGGGCAAGGACCCCCCCCCTCCCCCCAACCCCGCATCCCTTCCCCCATGGTGGTCACCACTGGGCAGAATTCTTCCCTTCAGAGGCCGAGGGTCAGGCAGTCACAAGTCCCAGGTGGTCCTGAGCATCCCCAACAGGAACCAGATGCCCTCACTGCAGTGAGTGACCATAGCCCTCTCCTTCTCTTCCCAGCCTGATCCCTGGAACACGCATGTCTGGAAAGGCACCAACGGGACCCCCACAAAGCGGCGAGCCATTGGCTTCAAGAAGCTAGCAGAGTAAGTTTCGTGCAGTGGGCGGGTGGGGTGGATGTCCCCACAAACTCAGAGAACCCAGAGAAGGAGGCTGGGCAGACTCCTGTGCCCTCTGACCTCTCTACAGAATATGATTTCTTCATCTTCTTCAGCCACCTGGGCCTTCTTTGCCTCTGAGTCTGAGCTGTGAATGTCGTTCCAACTCTTCTCCTTCTCAGCCTCACTTTCCTCACACTGGTTTCCTAAATTCTTGTCCTGGGGGCAATGGTGTGTTGGTGAACCAGCCCTCCTAATAATAATAATAATAATAATAATAATAATAATAATAATAATAATAGTAATACCTTGATTTTCATGTTTGCCAGTTTCCATGATGTAAACATTCCCACTATGACCAATTTCTTTTCTTTCTTTCTTTCTTTTTTGAGATAGGGTCTGTTCCCCAGGCTGGAGGCGTCTCACTTTGTTGCACAGGCTAGTCTCGAACACCTGGCCTCAAGCGATCCTCCTGCCTCAGCCTCCCAAAGTGCTAGGATTACAGGTGTGAGCCACTACACCTGGCCTAGGAAGTCACTGAACCCAGACTAGGGAGGAGCTGGAGTTAGTCAGCTCCAGCACACTACTGCCTGGAGAGCACCCTCGTTCAGGGCTGACCCTTAATTTTACTCATTCATTCATTTACTCATTCATTCATTCATTAGTTGGGTGTCGCAGCACACGCCTGTAGTTCTAGCTACTCAGATTCTGTGCCAGGCACTGTGTGAGGCTTCAGGGGGATCATGGCAAGCTAGACAAATGCTGTCCCTGCTGTCATGAAGCTCACAGCCATTCCTTTGTCAAAGAATCAACAAATACAGTAAACATGGCAGCTGTGGAAGGTACCATCGAGGAATGGTTCCTGGAAATAATAATGGTTCACGGAGTTTGGGAGGTCAGGGAGGGCTTCCTGGAGGAGGTGACAATTGAGCTAAAGAATGAGATTAAGAAAGTTTAAGCAAAGAGGGGAAGGAAGGGGGTTATGGCCTGAGACTACTGAGGAGTGATTTTCCTGAAGAATGCCTGACCAGCCAGAGGACCAGCTGACAAGTAGGATGGGGTTAACTAAGTTGATTTAACGGGGATGCCAGCCTTCTGCCCCAAAAAAAAGAGAACCCCACTGATCCACTTACCAAAGACCACTGTTTGGAGCTAACTTTTTGTCAGAAGACACTACTCTGTTTCCTCAGCTCCCTCAGGTCCAGAATTCTCTATGTATGATAACTAGTTGTACAACAGGTGTCATCTAAGCCATGGGCCCCAGAGACAAGACACTGGTGGGTCTTGCAGGGACCCAAACCTAGGTCCTGGCTCCATTAATAGAGCCCATAGAATCAATCAATCTCTCTCTCTCTCTCTCTCCTCTCTCTTCTCTCTCTCTCTCTCTCCCCCTCCCCCTTTCTCTCCCTCCCTCCCTCTCCTCTCTCTGTCTCTCTCTCTCTCTCTCTCCCTCCCTCCCTCCCTCTCTCTCCTTCCACCCTAATCCCATCCCCCAGCCAAGCAAGAACACATCAGCAGCCACCATTTCCCTAACAAGAATATCTCAGATATTCTCAGGGAGGGCAATTGTTGGCTTCAGTTCAGCTCCACTGTCTCTGGGGGGAAAGGGGAGGGAGAAATCTAAAACATTAATTACACTATTAAGTTTTGGGTAGTAACAATGGGAATTAATTATAGATGCATCTTTATGCTCAAATTATTCAAAGGGAACCCTCCAGGTACCTTTTATTCCTTTCTGTTTCTTCCCCTTAGCTAAGTCTTCCTGCATCGTGGGCGGTTTCCCTGATTCTAAAAAATAATGAACTTAACGCCGATAATCCCAGGTGGGGGGAAGTTAGCGATTTGTCTGCACTGAGATTTCTAGTTACAACAGGGAGGCTTGTTAAGGAGTCGAGCCTGGGTATTTCTGAGCCTCTGGCCTGTCTGCTAGTGCCCCTGGAACTCGCCCTGCCCAGTAGAGCAGAAGGAAGAGACACTGGTTTGGGCTTCTCTGTTTAGTTAGAAAGAGGCTGGATTTGATGTTCAGACTTCCCAGGGTCTCAGTGGCAGCATCTTTTAAAATTCATAACTTCTTTTATTTCTTTTTTGTAGAGACAAAGTCTCACTCTGTTGACCAAGCTGGTTTCAAACCCTTGGCCTCAAGTGATCCTCCCGCCTCAGCCTCCCAAAGTGCCAGGATCACAGGCATGAGCCACTATGCCCATCCCATAACTTCTTTTGATAGATATTTATTTAGTGCCTGTTGGGTATCAGGCTCTGTGCAAGACCCTTGACATGCATTGCTGAATAAATCAGACCTGGTCCTTCCCTTGTGGACCAATAAACCTCTAAATCCCATCAAACTCAATGCCTGGTGACTAATTCGTGATTCATTTCTCTCTCTCTTTCTCTCATTCACACATGTGCATACACACACACATTAGAATATGAGCCCTATGACAGCTGCATTCCATAGCTATGTTCTCTGTGGTCTCCATTTCCTATAACAATACTGACACATAGTTAAGCACTTAATAAATATTTGATGAATGAAAGAGAGAGGAAATGGATGAACGATCATCTTTTGAGGCAATGCTTGGCAAACCAAGGTTCTTAAGCCTGGGATCAATCAAGTAACAAGCTAACAAAACTAACTACTCCTTTTAATTCATGACTAATTGCTCTGGTGGGATTTTTTTTTTTTTTTTTTTTTTTTTTTGAGGCAGAGTCTCACTCTGTCGCCCAGGCTGGAGTGCAGTGGTGCCCAGTGGTGCGATCTCGGCTCACTGCAACCTCCACCTCCTGGGTTCAAGCAATTCTCTTGCCTTAGCCTCCCAAGTAGCTGGGACTACAGGCGCACGCTGCCACTCCCGGCTAATTTTTTTGTATTTTAGTAGAGACGGAGTTTCACCTTGTTGCCCAGGCTGGTGGCAAATTCCTGAGCTCAGGCAATCCACCTGCCTCGGCCTCCCAAAGTGCTGGGATTATAAGCATGAGCTACCACACCCGGCCTCTGGTGGGATTTAATAAAGGATTTAATATCCAGCATTATCTCTAGAGAAGTTAAAAAATAAAATAAAATAAAGGATTTAATAATACTTTAATAATACGGTGCTTAAACACAAAGACTTCAAGTGCCTCTGAGGAAACCCCTGAAGCCATCAAAGATCAAGAGAGTTCTCTTCTGTTATATTTCATGGATCCTGGTTCTTGCACGAAAGTCCCAATCCAGCATCTTCTCTCCCCTTTTCTGTTGCCCATTTTTCATCTCCATCCTCTTCCCTCCAGAGCTGTCAAGTTCTCGGCCAAGCTGATGGGGCAGGCTATGGCCAAGAGGGTGAAAGCGACCATCCTCTATGCCACAGAGACAGGCAAATCGCAAGCTTATGCCAAGACCTTGTGTGAGATCTTCAAACACGCCTTTGATGCCAAGGTAGGTGGGGGGTAGCCCTAGCTCCACCAGCTTCTCATGGTGAATTAAGGCAGGAAGGGGAGAGAGGGAAGTCAACAGAGAAGAAGCCTTTGGCAAAGGATGAAAGCACACCTGACAGGGCCTATCAGCTCACATACACATTTGCATAAATTTCAGGGGACTGTGATATCCCTGTCCCCATGAGTCCAGGAGTCACAAAATGAAATTCCCCTCTTTAGAGCAAAATGTTAGAGGGTTTATAAGAAACCATTCTGAGGTCAGTTTGGGAAGCTTTGCCTGAAGTACAGCTCGATGGTTTTTTGGTTTTGTTTTTTTGTTTTTTTGTTTTTTGTTTTTTTTTTTTTTTGAGAAGGAGTTTCACTCTGTCACCCAGGCTGGAGTGCAGTGGCGCGATCTCGGCTCACTGCAAGCTCCACCTCCCGGGTTCACGCCATTCTTCTGCCTCAGCCTCCCGAGTAGCTGGGACTGCAGGCGCCCACCACCACGTTCGGCTAATTTTTTGTGTTTTTAGTAGAGACGGGGCTTCACTGTGTTAGCCAGGATGGTCTCGATCTCCTGACCTCTTGATTCGCCCGCCTCGGCCTCCCAAAGTGCTGGGATTACAGGCGTGAGCCACCGCACCCGGCCAGCTCGATGGTTTTCATTGCTGTGGCAGGACTTCCCAGAGCCTGTAATCTATAAGCATGTGTTCTAATCTCCAAAAGAGGCGAGGATAGAATATAGACGTTTCCCAAACATGTTTGATCGTGGATCGCTTGTTTTCATGGAGCATCTCAGGAGACTGGGATTTTCTAGAACCTATTTTGAGAAATGTTGCTCAGACGATGATGAGACACAGGGCAATCATCTTTCCAGAAGGCAGATATCTCAGACTTGTTTGGCCAGGTGCTCCACACTGCTCGGGGGAGGATTAGAGAGGAGGTTGAGAAGACTTAGTCAGCTCTAGCCAGATCATTCCCGGCCTAACTGGGGTCAGGAAGAATCCAAGACCAATTGACTATAAGAATCCCATGGGATTCCATCAAGCTGTGTTTCTAGTATCTGCCAATCCCTTGAACCATTGCTTCAGATTCTCCACAACCCTTCAGGCCACAGTGACCATAGCAAGGTCCCACGCTACCAAAAAGCGTTTAGTTCTACCCACTTGAGCCCACTGAAGTACTAACACCTCAGATCTTTTGGTTCTCCTTCCAAAGGAGATGACCCAAAATGACTCACATTTTTCCTTTCTCTCCTCTTGCCCTTCCCCCATCACTTTTTGTCTCTCCCACCTCTTTTCTCTCCTCATCCCCTTCTTCCTCTCCCCATCCTATACCTGTGCCCTGCCCACCTAGGTGATGTCCATGGAAGAATATGACATTGTGCACCTGGAACATGAAACTCTGGTCCTTGTGGTCACCAGCACCTTTGGCAATGGAGATCCCCCTGAGAATGGGGAGGTGAGATGAGCTTTTACCTGTTCAAGAGTGTGGTTCCATCATCAGGAAGAAGTAGGGGCCAAGGTTGAGACTCTTCCTACACCTGCTATTCAGTAGCAAACCCTCCCAGAGCCTGAAAGCCAGTAATTTCCATTTGGATCCAAGTTATACAAAGGTTGGACAATTCCAAGTACTCAGTCTACTGGCGTCCATTAGTTAGCAAGTCCCTGGTGAAAATATTGTCACCTAAGTGAGCTATTTGTTTGCAGTGGCTGCTCCTATCATTAGCTTGATGTTCCCTGATGTAGATGAGGAACATGGGGACAATATTTTTATAGAAGGAAGGCTCCAACGGGAAGTTGTGTGCTGGGGGTAGGGAGTCCACACCTGTAGTCATTTAAACAGCAGGTGTATCCACTGCGTCTGTAGCCCAGGCATTACTGTCCAGCCTGAGCCCCTGACCGCTCCTGACATCCTGGCCTCCGGGCATCAGTCTCCTCTTTGACAGCCAGGACCCCAGACCCTCAGTATCCGACCTGATTTCCCATTTACTAAGATGTGCTAATTTCACCCATATGTTTTGGCTTCCAGAAATTCGGCTGTGCTTTGATGGAAATGAGGCACCCCAACTCTGTGCAGGAAGAAAGGAAGTAAGTGAATGACCCCTCCGACGTCACCCGCCACCCCCGAGGGTAACTGGACATTGACTTTTGGCACCTGGGGTTCACATTTGAGTTCTGGATGGTGGCTGTAATCTGAAGTCCATTTGTAATGGGTCTTAGTTGTGAGGTGTCTGCAGTCTACTGGGGCAAATATTTTGGTATCTGGGTCACTTCACAGCCTTGTGCCTCAGTTTCCTTTTCTATCAAATAGAGATTATAGCACCTACCTTGACTTTCTAATTAGTAAGAATCAAATCACAAACTAGATGTAAAAGCACTGTGTGCTGGGCGTGGTGGCTCACGCCTGTAATCCCGGCACTTTGGGAGGCCGAGGCAGATGGATCACAAGGTCAGGAGTTCGAGACCAGCCTGGCCAACATGGTGAAACCCCATCTCTACTAATAATACAAAAATTAGGCGGGCGTGGTGGCGCATGTATGTAATCCCAGCTACTCGGGAGGCTGAGGCGGGAGAATCGCTTGAACCTGGGAGGAGGAGGTTGCAGTGAGCCAAGATCGCACCATTGCACTCCAGCCTGGGCAACAAGAGCAAAACTCCATCTCAAAAAAAAAAAAAAAAAAGCACTGTGTAAATATTATTCTTTTTCCCTCTTTGAGAACCTACATTCAAAATCAGTGCAAGGCAGTCAGGCATGGTAGTGCACACCTATAGTCTCAGCTACTCTGGAGGCTGAGCCAGAAGGATCACTTGGCCCCAGGAATTTGAGGCCAGCCTGAACAGCCAGACCTGTCAAAAAAAAAAAAAAAAAAAAAAAAAGCTAAAATCAAAGAATGGAACTTCTTTCCTTAAAAGCTTCCTGTCTGATGCTCACAGTGAAGTTGCAGCTAATCTAGAAGTTGAGTTCAAAAGATAAGATACCTTGTAAGACAAAACATACCTGTAGTCAAAAATATGTTTGTAATGGAACCGCATCTAATGTGGGATTGAGTTCTAAAGGTATTTGGTAAAGTAAAAAAGCATCTAATCAAACTTACCATTGATGGCTGGGCACGGTGGCTCATGCCTATAATCCTAGTGCTTTGGGAGGCTGAGGCAGGAGGATTGCTTGAGGCCAGGAGTTCAAACCAGCCTGGGCAATATAGCAAGATCCCATCTCTACAAAAAAATTAAAAATTAGCTGGGCATGGTAGTGTGCACCTGAAGTCCCAGCTACTCCAGAGGCTGAGGCAGGAGGATCACTTGAGCTCAGGGGCTTGAGGCTACAGTGAGCCATAATTATACCACGGCACCCCAGCCTAGACAACAGAGCAAGACCCTGTCTCTAAAAAATAAAAATAAAAAAATTTTTTTTGAGATGAAGTTTCGCTGTTATCACCAAGGCTGGAGTGCAATGGCACGATCTCAGCTCACTGCAACCTCCGCCTCCTGGGTTCAAGCGACTCTGCAGCCTCAGCCTCCCGAGTAGGTGGGATTACAGGCACACACCACCATGCCTGGCTAATTTTTGTATTTTTAGTAGAGACAGGCTTTCACCATGTTTGCCAGGCTGGTCTCGAACTCCTGACCTCAGGTGATCTGCCTGCCTCAGCCTCCCAAAGTGCTGGGATTACAGGCCTGAGCCACCGCACCATGACAAAAAAATTTTTGTTAATGACCCTTGAAAAGCCCTTGCATCCCCCATAAGGTATAGGACACATGGTGTGTGCACGCTGAGCTGCCTTTCCATGAGGCCAACTCAGTATTTGCTCCAGCATGGAGCAAGCAGATCCCTGTGTCTTAAGGTGAACATCAAATGCTCTAGCTGGCTGGTGTTTTTTGGCTGTGTTAAGCAGAAAATCCCTTCTGAGGCCAGACACAGTGGCTCATGCCTGTAATCCCAGCATTTTGGGAGGCTGAGGCGAGAGGATCACCTAAGGTCAGGAGTTCGAGACCAGCCTGGCCAACATGGTGAAACCCGTCTCTACTAAAAACATAAAAATTAGCTGGCCATGGTGGAGTGCACCTGTAATCCCAGCTACTCAGGAGGCTGAGGCAGGAGAATCACTTGAGCCTGGGAGGCAGATGTTGCGGTGAGCCGAGATTGCGCTACTGCACTCCAGGTTGGGTGACAGAGTGAGACTCCGTCTCAAAAAAAAAAAACAGAAAATCCCTTCTGATTTTCTTTGTGCAGAGAACATGCTGCCGTATTCACATAAGTTTGATACCCAGGAGACTGACCGTTGCTGAGTCCTTTGTGGTCAGCCCTCGTTCTACGCCCAACTCCAGCATCTTAGTCCTCACTCTCCTTACCTCTCTCCTTCCCACCCCATCCTAGATGGCCTCCCAGCAGGTTCCCTCTCACCCCTCCTTCAGGGAGAGATAGGGCACCATCGATTCTCCCCTCTAGGTACCCGGAACCCTTGCGTTTCTTTCCCCGTAAAGGGCCTCCCCTCCCCAATGGTGACACAGAAGTCCACGGTCTGGCTGCAGCCCGTGACAGCCAGCACAGGTAGAGTGTGCATGTGTGTACACGCAGGTGTGTGCGAGTGTATGCATGCACACCCAATGCCTGAGCATCCCAGGCCACACATCTAGGTCTCAAGGAGATCCGAGTTCTAACCTGAGCTGTGTCACTAACTCACTAAGTGACCTTGAGCAAGTCGCTTAACCCCTGTGGGCCTTGGTCTTTCTCATCTGCCGAATGGGGAGAAATTAGCTCTGCCCTACCCACTTCTGTGGCCTATTGGCAGGGTCAAAGGGTAATAACAAAAAGGAAAGCATTTGAAAAAACCTCCAACCTCATACAAATGCACGTGCTGTTATTTTTACCCACAACCATCAACCATTCCTCCCACACTAACAACACAGCCACCCCCTGATATATTGCATGACTCAATGTGAGACTATTTTAGGGCAGAAAATACACTTACATATATTTAGAACTTTCCTGATGCTGGAGCGAAAACTTTAAAGAACATCCAGCTTAGAAACCCTGCTGCTAGAATGCACAATTTCTTTTCTTCTTTTTCTCTCTTTTTTTAATTTTCTCATTTCTTTTTAATTTTTTGTAATTAGATTTGTGTGTTGGGTTTGCTTCTTGAGTTTTGGGTTTTGTTTTGGAGTTTTGGTTGCTTGTTTGTTTGGTCTCAGATTTTTTGTTTGTTTCTGTTTGCTTTGTTTTGTTTTGCCTTGCCTGAGAGCACAACTTACCATTTTTGGAGGAAAACGGAGAAATTGGATTTTTTTTAATATCAAGGTTCCTGAGCCTCTCATGCTGAGATTTGAGTCCCAAAGACATCTTCCTTCACCTTCCAAATAATTTATTTTTTTAATTTTATTATTATTATACTCTAAGTTTTAGGGTACATGTGCACAATGTGCAGGTTAGTTACATATGTATACATGTGCCATGCTGGTGTGCTGCACCCATTAACTCGTCATTTAGCATTAGGTATTAATTTAAAAAATGCAGTCTCTTTCCATGCCAGGCGTCAGTGCTGAACATTGTTCATATTTACTTGAAATGTGAAATTTGATAGAGCCCTGAAATGTCTAAGGACCATAACTTTATGGAAGGACAGTATTGAATGGGATACTCCAGCACTGTCCAGAAGAACTTTCTAGAGAGATGTAAATGTTCTATATCTGTGCTGTCCACTATAGCAGCCACTAACCAAACGTGGCTCCGGAGCCCCTGAAATGTGGCTGGTGCAAGTGACACCCTGCTATGACCCAGTGGTTCTCAAAGCTGAATGCACATCAGAATCACCTAGGGAGGTTTGCAGTGTACCAACCACATTGACTTGTATTTAACTCAAATTAATTTAACTTTAGATAGCCACACTTAGCCAATGGCTGCCATCTTGGACAGCATGGTCTAGTTTCTAGCTACTTAAAATGAAGTCTGGAGACACTGGCATCTCCTGGGAGCTCGTTAGAAATGCAGAACCCCAAGCCAGGTCCCAGAACTACTTAATCAGAATCTGCATTTTAATGAAATCCCAGGATGATTCTTGTACACATTAAAATTTGAGAAACAGCCAGGTGCAGTGGCTCACACCTGTAATCCCAGCACTTTGGGAGGCCGAGGCAGGTGGATCACCTAAGGTCAGGAGTTTGAGACCAGCCTGGCAAATGTGGTGAAACCCCGTCTCTACTAAAAATGCAAAATTAGCTGAGCATGTTGGCACATGCCTGTAATCCCAGCTACTTGGGAGGCTGAAGCAGGAGAATCACTTGAACCCAGGAGGCAGAGGTTGCAGTGAGACGAGGCCGTGCCATTGCACTCCAGCCCAGGCGACAAGAGTGAAACTCTGTCTCAAAAAAAAATTTTTTTTTTTTTTAGAAACAAGGGAGCATGGTCTCATGGTTTAGGGGAGTAGTTAGTTCTGTTCCTGACTTCTTACTGATTAAATCATTTTAACTTTATGGGTCTCAGGTTTCCTGAGTTAAGCATGGCCAGAAACCTTTTTAGTACCAGTTAAGACCAAGTGCAGATGAACAGTTACCACTGTGGTGGACAAGGGTAAGTTGGTAGATTATAGAAGAGGCCATGGGAGTGTTATGGTTTGACTCAACATACAAGAGAAGGCCCTAGAATCAGGACTGGTCACTTGAAGATCCATCAAGGGTGTTGACCTCAGGAGGGAGCTCCAGGCCAGAGCTCACAGGTTCTCTTTGGTTTTGGCAGGAGCTACAAGGTCCGATTCAACAGCGTCTCCTCCTACTCTGACTCCCAAAAATCATCAGGCGATGGGCCCGACCTCAGAGACAACTTTGAGAGTGCTGGACCCCTGGCCAATGTGAGGTGAGCAAGGGGATAAGGGGGTCGGGGGTCAGGGAAGACTAAGGCTCCTGGGGAGCTTGACCTACTTACAAAGTGAGCGCTTCGTTGTGGAGAGGTAGTGTCCATTCATTTCTCATAAAACCAGCTGCATCCTGGCTGTCTGGGACCCCTCCCACCCATTAAGTCACATTGCCTGGTCTCCCCGTGCACCATTTTTTATCCTTTCTGTGACTTCTTTTCATATACACACTCCCTCAGAGCCCCATTACCCAAGGTTCACCCCATTGTTTGTGCTGAAGGATATCAATCCCTGGATATTGCTCAATGAGCTGCCCTTCCCAATAGCTACGGTGTATACTTCATAGAAGCTTCTGTAGACACCCTGCTATGACCCAGTGGTTCCCAATCCTGGAGGCTCCTCAAAACCACCTAGAGAGGTTTGCAGTGTACTAATACAATAACCAAGACCCATCTCCAGAGATTCCGATGGAATTGATCTAGAATTGGGCCCATGTGTTGCTTTTTTCTTTAAGTCTCTCCAATTGACTCTAACGTGCAGTCAGATTTGACAAATACTGCCCTAACCTCACATTATCTCATGGCGTAGTCACATACTATGAGATAATTTTAGGAAGCACGTGGGCAGATATTTTATATTACAATAGTTGTGTATTCAGTTTAATGGGTTCTTGGAAGGAAAGAAAACAGGGATGTCAAACCCTTGGTTTCGTGGATATTGATCAAGACAAGACTGATGTGAGTTGCCCTGTAGGAAGAACCTTCAGGCCTGGCCACAAATCTCTCAGACCTTCGCTAACTGAGCCTTCTCCGTAATTACTCAGAGCAATGCGTAGTAGATGATATAGATCACTGGTTTGCTAGCTATTGAAATATCTGTTATGTCCTCCAGGACATTTTAAAATAGGCTTTACGTTTTAAAGCAATTTTAGGTTGACAGCAAAATGAGCAGAAAGTACAGAGAGTTCCCACATCCTCCTGTCCCTACACACTCACAGTCTCTCCTCCTATCAGCATCCCACACCAGAGTGGTGCGTTTGTTAGAACTGATGTACCTACAATGACACATCATTATCAGCCACAGTCCATAGTTTACTTTAGGGTTCACTCTTGGTGTTGAACATTCTATAGGTTTTGACATCAGTACTTTTTTCAGCTCAACACTGAAACGTCAGTTCTGGAGTTTGACAGTCAGACCCATTTTTCCCTTATTAAATCTATCATGGCAGGAGCTGGCAAACTAACACCTGTGAGCCAAATCCAGCCTGGTCACTGCATATTTTTTACAACCCATGAGCTAATAATGGTTTTCTTACCAATGAACATTTGTAATTAGTTTGATGGTAGAAAACATTACCTTTGAACCCGAATAAAGAAAATGTTATTATTCTCTCCCAAAAAATGAATTCCAGTCTTCTCATAGTAGACCTGTGTTAAAGTATGCTTAATTGTTATTATTATGTTTTTAATTTTATCAATTGAGAATGTTCAGGAATTTGTTTTCTTTCTTGTTTTGTAAGTACCTACGTAATAGCTTCAATTTTGCTTCTTGGCCTGTAAGCCTAAAAATATTTGCTGTCTGACCCCCACATATAAAAAGTTTGCCAACGCCGGGCACAGTGGCTCATGCCTGTAATCCCAGCACTTTGGGAAGCCAAGACAGGCAGATCATTTGGGCTCAGGAGTTTGAGACCAGCCTGGGCAACATAGCAAAACCCTGTTTCCACCAAAAATATAAAAACTTAGCTGGGCATGGTGGCATGCACCTGTGGTCCCAGCTACTCTGGAGACTGAGGTGGGAAGATCGCTTGAGCCTGGGAGGCAGAGGTTACAGTGAGCCGAGATGGCGCCACTGCATTCCAGCCTGGACGATAGAGCAAAACCCTGTCTCAAAAAAAAAAGTTTGCCAAGACCAGGCACAGTGGCTCACACCTACCATCCCAGCACTTTGGGAGGCCAAGGTGGGAGGATCACTTAAGCCCTGGAGTTTAAGACCAGCCTGGGCAACATATTGGGACCCTGTGTCTACAAAAAAAAAAAAAAATGAAAAAAATTAATTGATTAGCTGGGCATAGTGGCACATGTCTTTAGTCCCAGCTACTTGGGAGGCTGTGGTGGGGGGATTGCATGAGCCTAGGAGATCAAGGCTATGGTGAGCCATGATCACGCTACTACTACATTCCTTGAAATCATAAGCTGAAGATTGTGATGGAAATGTGACTAGAAGTAACTGTAGTCTAGGTCCTCAGGCCCACCAAGAAGAATATTAATGAATCAACCGCCTGAATCATCATCTGTTGGTGAACACAAGAGTTGGGAGCCTTGGTCCATTGGGGCTACTATACCAAATACCATAAACTGGTGGCTTGTAAACAACAGAAATTTATTTCTCACGGTTCTAGTGGCTGGGAAGTCCAAGATCAAGGTGCCAGCAGATTCAGTGTCTGGTGAGGGCCCTCTCTCTGGCTCATAGACGGTGCCTTCCAGCTGTGTCCTTACATGGCAGAAGGGAAGAACTCTGATCTCTTCAGCCCCTTAAGAGGCACTAACCCCATTCATGAGGCTTCACCTTCATGACCTAATCATCTCCCAAAGGCCACTAATACCATGACATTGGGGGTTAGGTTTCAACCTATGAATCTGGGGGAGACACAAACATTCAGACCATAGGAGTGATGAGCTAGTGAGGAAAAATTAAAAGCAAGTTCAAAAACACAAATGAGTGATTGACAGTGTCAGCGGTAATTGAATATGGCAGACATCACAAACATAAATCACAGAGATTCAGGAAACAACACCTTAACCAGAAGGCATGACTAGTGCTGGAAGTTCCCAGATCTGCACTGGGCTAAGGCTGAGGCAGGTGGCTTTGGGTAGGGTTTCCCTTTCCTGTCACCCCTCCAGTCAGTCCACACCCAGTCACCATCTCTGTCTACCTGTCAGGCCGCCACCCTGCAAGAAAAGGGTAATGTTTTTAGATCCAGGAAGATCATTGGTTAAGAGTAAATGGCAGGCTGGGCACGGCAGCTCACGCCTGTAATCCCAGCACTGTGGGAGGCCAAGGTGTGTGGATCACCTGAGGTCAGAAGTTCGACACCAGCATGACCAACATGGTGAAACCCCATCTCTAACAAAAATGCAAAAATTAGCCACGCGTGGTTATGGGGGCCTGTAATCCCAGCTACTCTGGAGGCTGAGGCGGGAGAATTACTTGAACCTGGGAGGCAGAGGCTGCAGTGAGCCAAGATCACACCACTGCACTTCAGCTTGGGTGACAAGAGCAAAACTCTGTCTAAAAAAAAAAAAAAAAAAAGTAAATGGCAAAATGCTATCTAATCCCACATACTTTATTTGGAAAGGCTCTGGAATTCTGGGGAAAGGAGGGCAAGGAAGAAGAGGAAGATGAAATGTTACAATATGAGTGTAGATTTGAGGGGAGTGGATATTAACCTACATTAACTTACACCTGTGAGGCACCTGGACCCACCCCAAGTTCATACTCCAATGATGGAGGGTGCCTTTCCAACTTCTCCTACCTTCTTCCTTCCTTCCCATCTCAATCTGTTACCATTTTGTCCCCATCGTCCTAAAAAAGAGATTCAGGGGCAGGGCCTGATCCTGTATGGAGTAGGTTAAGTAGCCCCACTCCATGGTTTATCTGAGGTGACAGTCTACAGCAGAACACTCTGACCTTAAAAAGTGGGGCAAGGTGGGGTGTATTTGTCCCATTGGTGAAGCTGTTGTTCCTGTCCCTGTGAGGTCTAGACCTACAGCCAAGACCAAGTTCTGGAAATGTAGCAGAAAGTGTCTGAAGGACTGTGTACCAGCCCTACAGGAGCCATCTAGGACACAGCCCTCCATTTTCCATACTTCAGTCAAAGTGTCCCCACCTCAACATAGAGAAATAGCTCATGAATTTGACCCCACTGGTTCAAGCACCAATATTTTCTTGGTGGCGTCTATGCACAGAGGGTCTGTGAAGCAAATTAATTTCATAGACCTTACAAGGAATGGAACCAGAATACTTATAACTATTTCATTCCCTTTTAGAAGAACCTGTTTGATGTGTTGATGACAATTTCTTCTGGTCTTTTCATTAATACAAGTCCCTGAGGACCATTATATTATAGTTTCATTATCTTCATATTTAAAACTAATCTAGTTATGTCACTTGTAGAATTCAAGCCTTCCACTAACATAGACTAATTTCCCCAATTGGTCCAGCTTAGAAGCATGCAAGAAACAACCAGTGGTTCCAGGTCATTGCTGTCCCTAACTCGTCCTCCTTAGAACCAATTAGAATATTCTCCTGATGATGGCGATACTTAGAAGAGACCAAAAGAAACGAAGAGAAACCCTTGAGAGCCCTTAGGTTTCAAGTGCCCTTCCACAGATGAGCTTGGGGTTGCCTGACCACCAACAGCTAAACACTGTTCTTCTTGAGATACCAGATATATTAGTTCAGGCTGTCATAACAAAATACCACAGACTGAGTGGTATTGGCTGTAATTCTAGAACTGACAGACAACTTATCTGACAAAGGGCTAATATCCAGAATCTACAATGAACTCAAACAAATTTACAAGAAAAAAACAAACAACCCCATCAAAATTGGGCAAAGGACATGAACAGACACTTCTCAAAAGAAGACATTTATGCAGCCAAAAAACACATGAAAAAATGCTCACCATCACTGGCCATCAGAGAAATGCAAATCAAAACCACAATGAGATACCGTCTCACACCAGTTAGAATGTCAATCATTAAAAAGTCAGGAAACAACAAGTGCTGGAGAGGATGTGGAGAAATAGGAACACTTTTACACCGTTGGTGGGACTGTAAACTAGTTCAACCATTGTGGAAGTCAGTGTGGCAATTCCTCAGGGATCTAGAACTAGAAATACCATTTGACCCAGCCATCCCATTACTGGGTATATACCCAAAGGACTATAAATCATGCTGCTTTAAAGACATATGCACACGTATGTTTATTGCGGCATTATTCACAATAGCAAAGACTTGGAACCAACCCAAATGTCCAACAATGATAGACTGGATTAAGAAAATGTGGCACATATACACCATGGAATACTATGCAGCCATAAAAAATGATGAGTTCATGTCCTTTGTAGGGACATGGATGAAATTGGAAATCATCATTCTCAGTAAACTATCTCAAGAACAAAAAACCAAACACCGCATATTCTCACTCATAGGTGGGAATTGAACAATGAGAACACACGGACACAGGAAGGGGAACATCACACTCTGGGGACTGTTGTGGGGTGGGGGGAGAGGGGAGGGATAGCATTGGGAGATATACCTAATGCTAGATGACGAGTTAGTGGGTGCAGCACACCAGCATGGCACATGTATACATATGTAACTAACCTACACATGGTGCACATGTACCCTAAAACTTAAAGTATAATAATAATAAATTTAAAAAAAAAAAGAATAGAAATTTATTTTCTCATGGTACTGGAAGCCACAAGTCCAAGATCAAGGTGCTAGCAGCGTTGCTTTCTAGTGAGGTCTCTCTTTCTGGCTTGCAGATAGCCACCTTCTTGCTATGTCCAGAGAGAGAAAGAGAAAGGAAAGAGGGAGAGAGAGAGAGGGAGCTAGAGAGAGAGGAGAGAGAGAGAGCACTCTGGTGTCTCTTCCTTTTCTTTTTCTTTTCTTTTTTTTTTTTTTTTAGACGGAGTCTCGCTCTGTCACCCAGGCTGGAGTGCAGTGGCGCTATCTTGGCTCACTATAAGCTCCGCCTCCCGGGTTCACACCATTCTCCTGCCTCAGCCTCCAAAGTAGCTGGGACTACAGGCGCCTGCCACCATGCCCGGCTAATTTTTTGTACTTTTAGTAGAGACGGGGTTTCACCGTGTTAGCCAGGCTCTTCCTCTTCTTATAAGGACACTAATCCTATCAGATCAGGGCTTTACCCTTATAACCTCATTTAACCTTAATTACCCCTTAAAGGCCCTATCTCAAAATACAATTGTGAGGAGATTAGAGTTTTAATATATGAAATTTGGGGGGACACAGTTTAGCCCATTACACCAGACACTCCCCACATTCCCCACAGTCCCTTAGCATGAACATTCTGTCATCTCCTTGACAGGTTCTCAGTTTTTGGCCTCGGCTCACGAGCATACCCTCACTTTTGCGCCTTCGGACACGCTGTGGACACCCTCCTGGAAGAACTGGGAGGGGAGAGGATCCTGAAGATGAGGGAAGGGGATGAGCTCTGTGGGCAGGAAGAGGCTTTCAGGACCTGGGCCAAGAAGGTCTTCAAGGTAATCTGGATCTCATGGACCTACAGGAAAAAGTAATGCTCCCCACACCCCCAAAGACAGCACCTAAACCATCAAGAAGAGAATAAACTTGAGAGAACCCTCAGTACCTCTCCCATGTATCCAGCCAAGATACAGCTTTAAACAGCTCAGACAAATTTGGGTGTCCTGAAAACACATATTTTCTACCCAGAATCCAACATTCTACATTATGGGCAAGGAGTTAGTCCATAAAAAAAATTATATAGAGTCTTGGAATGTCAGGGCTGGGAGGAAGCCATCCGTCACTCCCATTTGGTGTACAGGTACACAAAGAAAACAAGAGATGGTCAACCAAACCAAACCTAACATCTTGGCAGTCTACCAATTTTGACACGCCTACCCCTCTTGTACTAGATCTTCACTAACCAATATGGTAGCCACTAGCCACACATAGCCATTTAAATTTAAACTTAAACTAATTAAAATTCAGTAGGATGAATGGGTAAATAAAATGTGGTACATCAATGCAATGGAATATTCTTCATCCATAAAAAAGAATGAAGTGGTGATACATGCTACAACATGGATGGACCTTGAAAACTTTACACTAAGTGGAAGAAGCCAGTCACAAAAGAATATGTATTGCAGGATTCCATTTATATAAAATGTCCAGAATCAGAAAATCCATAGAGACAGAAGGCAGGTTAGTGGTTGCTAGGGGTTATGGGGATGGGAAATGGAAGTGACTGCTAATAGATAAAAAAGTTTTTCAGTGTTGGGGGGGTGATGAGAATGTTCTGGAAGCAGGTAATGGGAAGGGTTGCATAACCTTGTGGACGTTCGACATGCCACAGGATTGTGCATATTTAAACAGTGAGTTGTATGTTATATGAATTACATTTATACCTATCTATACAGTACAAAATTAAATAAGGCTGGACATGGTGGTTGATGCTTGTTGTCCCAGCACTTTTGGAGGCTGGGGCAGGAGGATTGCTTGAGTCCAGGAGCTCAAGACCAGCCTGGGCAACATAGTGAGACCTCATCTGCTTAAAAAATAATAATAATTAATTAAATTAAACAGGTTTAAAATCCCATTCCTGACTTCCTTCAGACAGAATAGAGTGACAGACTCTGCATCCCCACCTCACCAGGAAACCACTAAAGTTCCTGGGGAAGCAAAGTAGAATTTCATTAGAACATAATGGATGGAGAGGAGAAAGCCTATAGTGGCTGTGAAGTCCCTGGTGCCATGCATGTCTAATTGATACCTTCTGATGGTCAGGAATGTATTGTAAAAATAGAACATGTGCTAATATCAGGAATGATAAAAGCCATGTTGAGTGGCCCAGGTCAGTTAGCTGAAAATAAAACAAATGAAGTTAATTTGAGAGAGAGATTCCTATCCCTATATTACCAAAAATATACATGTTTTGTTTTGTTTTGTTTTTGAGACAGAGTCTTGCTCTGTCACCCAGGCTGGAGTGCAGTGACACAATGTTGGCTCACTGCAACCTCCGCCTCCCGGGTTCAAGCAATTCTCCTGCCTCAGCCTCCCAAGTAGCTGGAACTACAGGTGCCTGCCGCAATGCCCAGCTAATTTTTTGTATTTTAGTAGAGATGGGGTTTCACCGTGTTGCCCAGGCTGGTCATGAACTCCTGAGCTCAGTCAGTCTGCCCCCCGGGGCCTCCCAAAGTGCTGGGATTACAGGTGTGGCACACATTTCACATACAACGTTCACTACAGTCACAGCTCCACTGAGATTCCAGAATCCCCAGTTATACCTGAAATTGCACTGGAACTTCCTAGATTGTTAAATAAAATAAATTATAATAAACTGTTATCTTTCTTCAGTATTTAAAAAAAATCCCATTGCTCAGTTGCAGTAAGCACATTTTGTATGCTCAGTAGCCACAGGGGTAGGGGTTACCCTATTAGACAGTGCAGAACCTTTCCATCATGATAAGACATCCTATTGGCCAGAGCTGTTTTAAATTTAAGGCCACCGGGGGATAAATGAACCATGCATGGCCTTCTGTCTGCATATGAGGATAACTAAACTGGCCATTCTGGGGTGGGAGGTGGTAATAAATGTAGACTGTGCCAGTTTTACCCACTCCATCCTAGCCTTGGAATACATTCTCCTCAGCAACCCCAGGGGAAAGGGTACTATGCAACCTTCTGTCATTCAGTTGGCGCTTTTCATCCTGAAAGCAAATGCAGGTAGAGAGCAAATGGGGAAGCTGAGGCCCCTGGGCTATAAAGATTTCCAGGTGGGGAGGCGATGTTCATCAGCCTGTTCCTGCATTTCCTCCCAGACAAAGAGAGATGAGATAACGGCTTTTTATACCCATTGAGATAATTCTGTTGCTTGATTTCCATCAGCCAACCTTGACTGAGCAACCAGGAAGCAAGGCCTGTGAAAAGCCACTGTACCCTTTAGCTGTCAACCTCCTGTCCTCCCATCCCACCCCCAGCTCTCGAAACCACAAATCTACTTCCTGTCTCTGTAGATTTCCCTGTGCTGGACATTTCGCATGAATGGAATCATATAATATGTGGTCTTTTGTGACTGACTTCTTTCACTTAGTATAATGTTTTCAAGGTTCATCCGTGTCATAGCATGTATCAGAACTTCATCCTTTTTTATAGCCAAATAATATTCCGTTGTATGGATGTGTCAAATCTTGTTAATCCATTCATCCACTGATGAACATTTGGATTGTTTTGAAGTCAACATGAGGTCAAACAATGGTAAAAACTACTCTTAAAAGTTATCATTATTTTGAATTATCTGTGGTTTTATCTTAAAAAGTAAATCAGGACATTGGCTGGGCATGGTGACTCATGCCTGCAATCCCAGCACTTTGGGAGGCTGAGGCGGGCAAATTGCTTGAGGCCAGAAGCTCGAAACCAGCCTGGCCAACATGGCGAAACCCTGTCTCTACTAAAAATTAGCTGGGCATGGTGCACATGCCTGTAATCCCAGCTACCTGGGAGGCTGAGGCATGAGAATAACTTGAACCTGGGGAGGAGGTCGAGGCTGCAGTGAGCCAAGATCACACCACTGCACTCCAGCCTGGGTGACAGAGTGAGATTCTGTCTTAAATAAATAAATAAATAAGGACAGCAATTCTTAGAATTGTTAAAGTCAAAGAACAAGTGAGCTTGACCAAAAAAAAAAAAGAAAAATGTATTTGCAGTCATCCAGACATTCAATATGCTCTGCCTTTATGTAATTCTTAAATATTAAAGGAAGATGGATTGGGAAATTCTGAGATGTTTACTTTCTTCTTTAATGTTAAACCTCTACACACATCAGTTTTAGGAATAAATGACGCAATAGAATTATATCTTAAGTACAGGTTAGGTCCTAAAGTCAATGTCAAATCCGACGTGTCCAGCACATCGCAGACACTCAAAATATATAGGATGGATGGATGGATAGATGAATGGATGGATGCATGCCTGCATGGAAAGATAGATGGATAGGTGGGTGGGTGGGTAGATGGATGGAAGGATGGATGCATGGAAAGATGGATGAGTGGGTGGGTAGATGGAGGGAAGGATGGATGCATGGAAAGATGGATGGGTGGGTGGGTGGATGGATGGGTGGATGGATGGATGGATGGAAAGATAGATACATGGATGGGAGGGTGGAAGGGTAGATGAATGGAAGAGTAGATGAGTGGATGGGTGAATGGATGGAAGGAAGACAACGAAAGGGTAGAGGGAAGAAAGGAAGGGAAGGAAGAAGGGAAGGAGGGAAGGGTTACTGGATGGATGGATGGATGGATGGATGGATGGATGGATGGATGGTTGGATAGATGGATGGATGGGTGAATGAAGAGATACATGCCATGACTTGGAGCTGTTGGAGAGGAGATCCGCTTGGCTGAAAGAGGTCACTGAAAGCCTTGTGTACACCACAGGCAGCCTGTGATGTCTTCTGTGTGGGAGATGATGTCAACATTGAAAAGGCCAACAATTCCCTCATCAGCAATGATCGCAGCTGGAAGAGAAACAAGTTCCGCCTCACCTTTGTGGCCGAAGCTCCAGAACTCACACAAGGTACCTCCCACCACCCTTCCAGGGAGGTATTCGTGACAATGGGGGAAAGGCAGGTGATCTCACCTCCAGAAGGTGCTTAGAGAAGATGGGCTTCATTGCTTTGATCTCCCTTTAGTGCAGTCCTACCAAAATGAATACTTTGCTGCTCTCCCACACTCAGTAAAACAAGTGCTGGTAAATGTTTCCCTCTCTCTCTCTAGTAATGTACTGTGTTCTTCCAAACCATCCTCTTCTCAACTTAACTCAACTATATTTTCTTTTTGTTCTGCACTACCCACAACCACCCCACCCATCCCAACCAATGCCTGCCTCATCTCCTCTCTTCTGTCTCTCATTCTACTCCAGAGAGCAGTGGAAGTGTCAGTAGAGGGTGAATACAATGCTGCAGAGTGTTTGTTTGTATTAATATTCTGAGACAAGATCTCATTATGTTTCCCAGGCTGGTCTTGAACCCCTGGCCTCAAGTGATCCTCCCACCTCAGCCTCCTAAGTAGTTGGGATTATGGGCGTGAGCCACGTTGCCCCACCTGGGGAGTTTTTAATGGAACATTCAACCCCTTCTCAGGAAGACTGTTGTTTTTCTCCCCACAGGTCTATCCAATGTCCACAAAAAGCGAGTCTCAGCTGCCCGGCTCCTTAGCCGTCAAAACCTCCAGAGCCCTAAATCCAGGTAGGAACATCTTGGTTCACTGGGTTACCTACGTCTTCTCCCAAATGCCACCCACGATGAAGGACAAGCCCTGTGGACTCCAAGGACTGGCTGTTCTCCAATCATTGCAAAGTGCCATAGAGACCCCCTTGCTGCTTTATAGTGTCTGGGGTTCCTGCTTTCCTTTTGCCTAGCTCCAACCTGAAGGAGTGGAAAAAGGAGATGGTATTGGTCTCATGAAAAGAGGAAAGAAAAAGGTTTTCTGAGTGATTTTTAACAGTAGACCACACCCCTGTAGCTTCGCCACATGTTCGTTGTACCACAGCATCTTAGCTGGAAATCACTTAGTCCAAGTATTTCCTATTGTGGATAATTTTTTTAATGGAGTGCTAAAAAGTGGCTACCCACACTCTGCTTAAATTTCTTTGGGTTGATGGGAGGTTCATTACCTCACAAAACAGCCCACTCTGTGTTTTGAAGTCCTAAGTGTTAGAAATTAGCTTAATATCCAATATAACCAATATCTTTTTATCTAATGTAACCAAAGCATGTCTTCCTAGTACTTTATTTTAAACCCAGTTTTACTCTCTGTGACACCTAAAATAAGTTTATTTCTTTCCAAATGAAAGACCTGGAAATAGCCAACAACATTGACCAATCTCCTGTGGGGCCTGATTCCTTCAAGTCATTCTTCCTAAGAGATGGTTTCCCAAGCCTCTGGCTTTAGTAAAAGGACACACTCTGTCCTGCTGGAAATGTCACTCTCACCTGGTCACAGTGCAGTGGAGAGCATGTGATCACTGCCAAATATGCTGAGGTTATTATTACCATCACCAATTTGAACAGGACGCGCTAATGCTGCCTGAGATCGCAGGCGCGGTTCTGATGGCCGTTCTGCTCTTCCATTAAAAGCGGTCGCTGCTGTTCTTAGACATCACGTCTTCTCAAAATGATCACACCAGGTCTGCTCATCTCTCTACTTGTATAAATAATTTTTCTAGCACTAATGAAAGTCTTTGCATAGATCCCTGTTGAATGGAATCTTTTTCACTTTGTAGTTACAGCAGAAGATCTTTTCAAGTCTTGATTCTTTGCACAGCATAGTTCACTGTGCTGTGCTTGGTTCACCAGGTTACCCACCTCTGCTCCCAGGTGCCACCCACAATAAAGGACAAGCTCTTGTTGATTCCAAGGACTGGCTGTTTTCCAATCATTGCAAAGTGCCATAGGACCCCCTTGCTGCTCTGGGAACAGAGGTGGGTAACCCGGTGAACCAAGCATATTGCAGTGAGCTATGCTGCGCAAAGAATCAAGACTTGAAAAGATCTTCTGCTATAACTACAAAGTGAAAAACATTCCATTCAATGGGAACTAATGCAAAGACCTTCATTAGTGCTAGAAAAATTACTTGGCCAGGCACGGTGGCTCACACCTGTAACCCCAGCACTTTGGGAGGCCAAGGCGGGTGGATCACGAGGTCAGGAGTTCGAGACCAGCCTGACCAACGTGGTGAAACCCCGTCTGTACTAAAAATACAAAAATTAGCCAGGCGTGGTTGTGGGGGCCTATAATCCCAGCTACTCAGGAGGCTGAGGCAGGCGAATCGCTGGAACCCAGGAGGCGGAGGCTGCAGTGAGCCAAGGTTGCACCACTGTACTCCAGCCTGGGCGACGGAATGAGACTCTGTCTCAAAAAAAAAAAAAAAAGAAAAAGAAAAATTACTTATACAAGGAGAGAGATGGATGGACAGAGCCGGTTTGATCAATTTGAGATGTGATGTCTAAGAGTAGGCTCTTGAGTTGAGCAGTCCTGGGTTCTAATCCCAGCTCTGCCACACACTAGCTGTGCGGCCTTGGCCAAGTCATTTAGGTGGTCTGAGTCCCTGTCTCCTTACCTACAGAATGGGAATGATAGCTCTGAAGATTGCTAATGTTTTTCTAGAGCTTTCTGTGTTCCAAGCACTGTGCTGAGTCCTCTGTCCAGGATCTTTTATAATTCTAACCAGCCTGGGAAGTAGGCACTCTTATCATACACATTTTAAATAGGAACAATGACAGCTAGAAAACACAAGTGACTTTCTCAAGGTCACACCGACCCGGTTATCTGACGCCAAAGTCAGTGTGCCAAATGGCTACACAGATGGCCTCACCAGCATTGCAAGGCTGCTGAGTATTAAAAATAAGCTACATAAAACAACTAGCATATCATAGAGTCCCATCCGTATTCCTTATCCATCCCTGCTTCATGTCACCTGCAAATTTAGTGTGTGTGCTTTCTATGTAATCCTCCAAACCTTTGATAAAAGTGATCAACACAGCAGAGCCCCAGGGCTCTCATATTCTCTCTTAGATTCTCAAACATTAAAGAAATGGAGTGGGAAATTAATCTCTGAATAATTAGTTAAGTGCAATTCAGAGCATAATGGTCCCTGATGCAGAGAGGGGCTCCATATTTGAAATATATTTCTCACTACTTATTTTGGTCCTATGGGAAGGGATGATTTAAGTAGCATTGTATGAGAAGGCCTAATAATCTACTGGAAATTTCTTTCAGCAACAAACTATGAAAGACCAGCTTACAGAATTTACTCCAAAAGCCATAGTACATAAGTAGTAAGGAAACTTGCAAATGTTTTGATACTAAGTGGAACCAAAAGTCCCAAAATCAGCCCCCACCCCCACCAATCCAGAGGAGGCACCTGACTCTAAGCTACGGGTCTAAAAGTGACTAGCAAGAGAATATTCCAAACAAGGTTAGAACTGGAGTGTAGAATTAAAATCAGTTATGAATTAGCACAAAAAGGACCCAGTCACACCTCCGTGTTTATCTCTTAAAAAGTATGTTCTGTATTTTCAAGCTTAAAGTGCTTTAAAAGCACTACCTATTTTCAAGCTTAATACCGTTTCCAGCTTCATAAGGCTTATAAAAAAAAAAAAGAAGAAGAAAAAGGATAATTGAGTGGAAAAGCATGACTCTCCTGTTTTTCTCCCGCCTGAGGCTGAAGTTGGGCTGTCTGGCCCAAAAGGCCACAACCAAGATATCACTAATCCCCCTGTGAGAGACCACTAATTGCAGACAAAGTGCTTATGAGGAAGTAGGCAGCCTTTTGAGGGTGATCCTTGAAAATCTAAAGAGAAAAGTGACCGCAGTCACCATCACAGCCTGGAAATAAATTTTCTAATGCACGTACAACAATTAGCAAACGACACAGAAGAGACAACATAATGGATCGCTAATGTGTGGGGTGTAGACACTAAGTTCTAGAAGTCAGGAGCAAGAGGGGAATGCAGGACTTGAGATGAACCTCTTAAGGGAGGGTGGGCTTTAGAAAGGCAGGAGAGAGGAGGGAGGTCCAGAAAGAAAGAACAGCAGAAGTCAAGGTCAGCACCGGGATGTCTGGGAGAATGGCAGACATTACAGTGGAGAGTTCTTGATGGGGAGAATGCTTCAGTCTCATCCCCCGTCAAGTAAAATTTCTTCTCTCCAGCCTTCCCAGTCTCAACAGAGGACATCAACATTTGGCTTCAGCCAAAACTTCCAGTGTCATCCTCACTCCTCTCTCTCCCTCGCCTGGGTCATGCAGTCTCTTAGCAGATGCCCTTGGCCTTGTCTTTCAACTACATCTCAGACCCACCACTTTGAGCAAAGCCATAGGCATCTCTGGTCGGAGTGACTGGAATAGCCACCCAACTTGTCTCTTGGTTTCTAAGCTTGTGTCTAAAAACATCATTTTCCGAAGAGCAGACGGAAGAATTTTTCCTTTTTTTCTTTCCTTTATTTTATGTATTTATTTATTTGAGGTTAAAAGTGGAAGTTTAATAGGTGAAAGAAAGGGCCGGGTGCAGTGGCTCACAGCTGTAATCCCAGCACTTTGGGAGGCCGAGGCAGGCGGATCATGAGGTCAGGAGTTTGAGACCAGTCTGGCCAGCATGGTGAAACCCTGTCTCTACTAAAAATACAAAAATTAGGTGAGTGTGGTGGTAGGTGCCTGTAATCTCAGCTACTCAGGAAGCTGAGGCAGGAGAATCACTTGAACCTGGGAGGTGGAGGTTGCAGTGAGCCAAAATTGCACCACTGCCCTCCAGCCTGGGCAATAGAGTGAGACTCCATCTCAAAAAAAGAAAAGAAAAGAAAAGAAAAGAAACAATAGCTCTCTGCTGCACAGAGGGGTCCTGGAGAAATGGGTTGCCAGATCCACGGTGAAATGCAGGGGGGTTTATAGATGCCTGGTGAGGAGGCAGTGTTTGATTTACATAGGACGCAAAATATTGGTTGGACCAGGCGTCCCATTTGCATAGGGCGCGAAAAACTGGTTAGGACTAGGTGTCCTACTTGTATAGGGTGTGAATTTCTGGCCACCCCCACCCTAATCTTTTACTATGCAAGTGGGTCCTCAGACAGAGGAATCTTTTAAAACCATAAATTGAAGCCTGTCACTCCCCAGCTTCACAGCCCCTGATGGTCTCCTGCTGGACTTTAGGAAACCTCCAAACTCCTTGCCATGACAGGTCATCATGAGGCTCTTGTGATCTGGCCACTACCACCCTCCAAACAAACACTCCAGCCTTCTTTCCCTTCCTTGAACATGCCACCTTTTCTCTGCCTCTGGGCCTTTGCACGTGCTCTTCCCCATCCCTGGAATGCTGTGCCTGCAGGTCTTTGCACGTCTCTGCTTAAGTGTCAAATCGCCAGAGAAGTCTCCCTGACCGTCCTGTCTGACATAGCCTGCTCCCCTCAACCCATCACCACCCACTCGTCCACATCACCAACCCCACCTGAGATCCTTTAAGTGACTTCTCAATGAGAATAGGGCACTTTGCTGTCCTTCCCCTCTCTCACCAGTGCCTAGAACAGTGCCTGACACATGATGTACAGGTGTGGAATGAATGAACCTTGTTACCTTGAGCAGTTCACAGGTGACAATATTTACTCTTTTCACTGAAGAATGCACATTTTCTGTTTTTTTTTTTCCATTTAATGCTGGACATTAGCAAATTATTCTTTCATCTGCAAACCTATCATTGAGCCACCGCCAAGCATGTGTGTATATGTGATGCTTCTGGATGTGGCTAGACATAAGTCACACAGAGGGGACACTCGGGGGGAGAAGGGAATAGGGCCCAAATGGCTGCTGCTGTTCCATTGCCTCTTCCCCTTCTCCCTGTACTTCTCATATGGCCCATATGTGTCCCAAGCTTGAAGAAAAAATAAAAAATAGGCCAGGCGTGGTGGCTCACACCTGTAATCCTAGCACTTTGGGAGGTTGAGGCGGTGGATCATCTGAAATCAGGAATTTGAGACCAGCCTGGCCATCATGGTTAAACCCTGTCTCTGCTAAAAGTACAAAAACTAGCCGGGCATGGTGGCGGGCTACTGTAATCCCAGCTACTCGGGAGGCTGAGGCAGGAGAATCTCTTGAACCCAGGAGGTGGACTGCACTCCAGCCTGGGCAACAGAGAGAGACTCCATCTCAAAAAAAAATAAAAATAATAATGAAATGCTAAAAATTCTCTACTTACAAAGCTCAGCAGAACTGAGATTTAAGACAATTGGTTTCTGAGCCAGTGCTATCGCCCAGAGGGTCGGCTTCCCAGCAAAGCATCAAAGACCAGTCCACCAAGGTGCCCTGGGGCCCCACAGCCATTCTGCCAGGGTTCTCAGCAAGCGGCATGCAGAGTCAGTCCCCTTGGTTAAACTCCCAGCAGGGCCAGAGCCTGGGCCCACCTTGCATTCTAGCCCACCTGCCAGCCACGTTCCCATGCCTGCTCCTTGTCTGCACGGCCACCCTCTGCCTCGTTCAAGAGGACTTTGGGGGAGGTGGCTGTGCTCGTGAGCTAGCTCAGCAAGTTTGGGTCCTCTGCATTTCTATTTTGTACAAATCGTGATGATCTGGGAAGAAAGCGGGAATTGATTTGCGGGCCTTTCAAAGGCTTCCTTTGGGTAGACTTAGGAGGCTCCCAAATTAGAAACCCCACAGCGCCCCCTGCTGGCCCCGGCTTCTGCGAGTTCCTTCTTGCAGCTCTCTGGAGGTGTTGTCTTTTTGCTCCCCAGGAACCAAAGACTGGTGTGAGCTCTGAGAAGGCTCAGTCGTGCAAGTTCCCAGACAGGGCAAGGTCTGCCCATGGAGGGCCAGTGGGACTCCAGACTCTAATACTGCCATTCACAATTATGGTCGCTAAGTTCCCCACTATGCTAAGGGCGGGGATGCCTTGCTTCAAGAAAATACTTGACACCCTTTCCTCCCCCAAAATAATGTGCCCGCTCAACTCTTTTTAATAATGGTGGCTATTTGTAGCACAAAAGGTTCTCGGTTGAGCCAAAAAGTCCTTTAAATAGCGAGTCCCATTGGGCTATTCAAGTGTTGATTTACATACCATAGAGAATATAGAAACTTCATGTTGAATATCAAGCGTCTCTAGCCACTGAAAATTAATTGGCAATGAAGAAAAAGCAGATCTGAAAAAGCAATCGTAGCTCAAAGGGTGCAAAGGATTTGATTTCTCAAAGTGTAATCGATCCTCGAGTTTGCAGGTGTTGGGTGAAATGCAGTATATCTGTACTGAAATACAGATATGGGGTTTGTTTGTTTTTTGGGTTGGGGTGGGAGGATGTAGTTTCGCTCTGTTGCCCAGGCTGGAATGCAGTGGTGCAGTTTCTGCTCATTGCAACCTCCACCTCCTGGGTTCAAGCGATTCTCCCGCCTCAGCCTCCCAAGTAGCTGGGATTACAGGCACATGCCACAATGCCCAGCTAATTTTTGTGTTTTTAGTAGAGACGGGGTTTTGTCATGTTGGCCAGGCTGGTCTCAAACTCCTGACCTCAGGTGATCTGTGTACCTCCACCTCCCAAAGTGCTGGGATTACAGGCGTGAGCCACCGTGCCCAGCCTGTACTGAAACTTTTTAAAGGACCAGAATAATCACATTCTGAGAGTTTATTATTGAAAGCTGTTGGATTAGCACAGGCCTCTTGAACTTGAAACACAAAAATCAATGCAGAAAGGTTATAACCCGGTGGCATCAATGAGTTTCCTTCTGTGTTTTCTTTTTAGATCTCTCAATTTTGTAATATTGATGAATTTATGCATAGGAGGAACCCAAGCTTAAAGCCAAGTCTTTTTTCCTTTACCATAACAATACGAGGAACCCTGGTTGCCAAAGGGGGTGGGGCTTGGAATTCCTAGGAGATATAGAATTTCACAGATTGGGGATGCCACAGCCTGTGGTCCCAGTGAAGTGCTAGACACTGAGAGAACCCCTATTAGTACTGAGAATGGGGTGCTAGAATCCAAAAGAAGGGAGTTAAGAAGGAGAGAATGAGGAGTTATGCCCAATACTGCTTCCAGATCCAGATGAACCCTAGGAACCAGCCACTGGATTTGCAGTGAGGAGTTCACTGGTGACCTTGATAAAAGCCTCAGTGTAGAATGATGGCTGAGCATTGTGGCCCTTACTTGTAATCCTAGCACTTTGGAAGGCCGAGGTGGGAAGATTGCTTCAGCTCACAAGTTTGAGACCAGCCTGGGCCACATAGGGAAATTCCATCTGTACAAAAAATTCCAAAATTACCCAGGCATGACGGTGCCTGCCTATAGTCCCAGCTACTTGGGAGGCTGAGGTGGGAGGATCATTGAGCTTGGGAGATAGAGGCTGCAGTGAGCCGTGATCGCACCACTGCACTCCAGCCAGGGTGACAGAGCAAAACCCTATCTCACCATAATAATAATAATAATAATAATAATAGAATGATGGGGGCATAGGCTTGGTTAGCACGGGCCCCAACAAGAATGGAAGGAGGAGAATTGCAGCCAACAAGGACAGACAGAAGAGCAAAAAAAGGAGGAAGTAGCTGCTGGCCCTTGTCCTATGATTCCTCTGCAATTTCCTGCAGTCGGTCAACTATCTTCGTGCGTCTCCACACCAACGGGAGCCAGGAGCTGCAGTACCAGCCTGGGGACCACCTGGGTGTCTTCCCTGGCAACCACGAGGACCTCGTGAATGCCCTGATCGAGCGGCTGGAGGACGCGCCGCCTGTCAACCAGATGGTGAAAGTGGAACTGCTGGAGGAGCGGAACACGGCTTTAGGTAACATTCCCGGGGACCCTTCCCTGCTCTAGGGAGCTGCAGAGGCAGTGGGTGTCTCGGGAAGAAGATACCTTTTCTTCCCAATCACCAGTCCAGGCAGGAGAGTGGGTGTCTGTTGCTAACAGCCTATGAGACTAAAGATATCCCCCTTTCTCATGACTGATCAACCTTGGCCCAACCAGCTGAGCAAATAAATGCACATAGTGCCAGGCCATTGATGGCTCACCATTGAAAAAAGGGGGCTGCTACCTTCCTTCATTGACTAGACACGGACTTTAGCAGTAGCCATTCTTTTCACTTTCCATCCTCACCACTAGCCCTCAGGAAAATCTCTAGTACCCCATTGTCCACCAAGTAAATAACAGCTGAAGTCTGATCCTGCCTCCTCTTAGAATCAAAAGGTACTATAGGAAGCTCGATGGCCAACTAGGGATTGAGCCCACGTTTTTTACCTCATTAGGTCAAGTTCTCGCCTGCTTAAGTGTCCATCCTTGACATTCATATTGAAGAACTTTCAAAGGCAAATGGGTCTCAGTGCTTCATCCAGGAGCACAGGTGGGCTCAGGAGTCAGGTACAAGGAACTGCAGTGAGCTTACCTGGCAGACCAATACAGGACTGTCACTTTTACAAAAGAGCTAGGATGTAAAGTCAAGATAGAATGTGAAGTAGCATGTAGTCAAAGCCCTGCTGAAAACCTCTCAGGAAGGCACTACTTTAGAGAGACATACCCTCTTTTTTTTTTTTTTTTTTTTTTTGAGACAGACTTTTGCTCTTGTTGCCCAGGCTGGAGTGCAGTGGCGCAATCTTGGCTCACCACAACCTCCACCTCCCAGGTTCAAGCGATTCTCCTGCCTTAGCCTCCTGAGTAGCTGGGATTACAGGCGCGTGCCACCACACCCAGCTAATTTTTTGTATTTTTAGTAGAGACAGGGTTTCATCATGTTGGCCAGGCTGGTCTCAAACTCCTGATCTCAGGTAATCCACCCGCCTTGGCCTCCCAAAGTGCTGGGATTACAGGCATGAGCCACCGCACCCGGCTGAGACATACCCTCTCTTAATAAATCCTGACTGAGTGAGGTGGCTGACGCCTGTAATCCCAATACTTTGGGAGGCTGAAGCGGGCAGATTACTTGAGCCCAGGAGTTCGAGACCAGCCTGGGCAACATGGCAAAACTGCATCTCTACAAAAAAAATACAAAAATTAGCCAGGCATCAGGCCGGGCATGGTTGCTCACTCCTGTAATCCCAGCACTTTGGGAGGCTGAGGCAGGTGGATCACCTGAGGTCAGGAGTTTGAGAGCAGCCTGGCCAACATGGTGAAATGCCATCTCTACTAAAAATACAAAAAATTAGCCAGGCATGGTGGCACATGCCTGTAATCCCAGCTACTCAGGAGGCTGAGGCAGGAGAATCGCTTGAACCCAGGAGGCAGAGGTTGCAGTGAGCCAAGATCACACCATCACACCATTGCACTCCAGCCTGGGCAGCAAAAGCGAAACTCCATCTCAAAAAAAAAAAAAAAAAAAAAAGTAGTGAGGCATGATGGCACACGTCTGTAGTCCCAGCTACTCAGGAGCATGAGGTGGGAGGATTACTTGAGCCCGGGAGTTCAAGGCTACAGTGAGTTGTGATCGCACCACTGCACTCGCCTGGGCAACAGAGTGAGACCCTGTCTCAAAAAAATAAATAAATAAAATAAAAATAAAAATAAATCCAACCCAGACAGTACTTCCTCTGTGTTGAAATAGAGCTTTTTATTTGGGATTGAACCCCTGATGGAGAAGAGGCTTATATTTAGGGACGTATTGGATGAAGAGTGTATAGAGGGGGTACAATATAGTAGTTAGAACAACGTCTGAAGCCACACTGCCTGACTTCACGCTTATGAGCTGTGTGATCTCGGGCAAATTTCTTAACCTCTCCATGCTTCTATTTTTCTCAGCAGGGAGAAGAATAACACTGTCTTGGATTGTTGTGATGATTAAATGAGCTAATATAAAATACTAATAATAGTACTCGGCATATAGAATGTGTTAGTGTTTATAATGACAACACTAACATCCCATTCAGGGGGTGAGAGGCTGATACCATGCAAAGACACATGGGGCCGAAATAGGCTTATCTCTGTCACGCACAGCTGGGGGCTCATTGTATAGAATGCCAGTGGACTGTCATGCTATTTTAGTATTTTTCTCCTCTCTTCATGTATTTTTCTTAATTTTTGGATTCATTTGCCTAATTTGGGATTTGCTTCTTGCACACATGAAATCCCCTGGATTCTGGGCATGGAAGGTGGAGAGCTAGAAGGTTGCTTGGCTCTGGAGCCACCCTCCTCTCCTGGCCCCATCCTCTGCTCCAGGAGCAGACCTGAACCCCCGACTTGGACTCAAGCCCTCCCACACCCACCTGTCACCTGCCTTGTACCTCCACAGGTGTCATCAGTAACTGGACAGACGAGCTCCGCCTCCCGCCCTGCACCATCTTCCAGGCCTTCAAGTACTACCTGGACATCACCACGCCACCAACGCCTCTGCAGCTGCAGCAGTTTGCCTCCCTAGCTACCAGCGAGAAGGAGAAGCAGCGTCTGCTGGTCCTCAGCAAGGTGGGTCCCCAGGCTTCGCACAACCCTAGGGGGCGCATTTCACCTCCTCGTCATTAAAGAGTTGAAAACTGTTATTACCAGGCTTCCAGCAGATGGAAGTCTTGAGCCAAGGGGGCCATTATTTGCTGTAGATTGCCATATTGGCTGGTCCAACGTGGCTGGTCTTCCACCAGTTCTAAGGCCTGGCAGAGCAAGAGTGACTCCCTTGAATCAACAGTTCCCTGGCTACAACAGAAATTGCTATTCTAACTCTTTCTGTCTTCTTCTGGAACCTTGAGCTTCCATTAGTGCCATCTTAGCCCATGCTTAGGAGAAAAAGAAACAGGATCTCACCATGCCTTGGTTTAAAGATAAGGTTTTTTCTTGTTTTTTGTTTTTTTAATTTTTATTTTTATGGGTACTTGGTTGGTAGGTATATATATTATGGGGTACATGTGATGTTTTGATACAGGCATACAATGTGTAATAATCACATCAGGGCAAATGGGGTATTCATCCCCTCAAGCATTCATCATTTCTTTGTGTTGGGAACATTCCAATTCCACTCTTTTAGTTATTTTTAAATATACAATAAATTGTTGTTGACTATAGTCACCTTGTCTAGATCTAGGAAATACTAGATCTTATTCTTTTTTTTTTTCTCTGAGACAGAGTCTCACTCTCTAGCCCAGGCTGGAGTGCCGTGGCGCAATCTCGGTTCACTGCAACCTCCATTTCCCCGGGCTCAAAGGATTCTCGTGCCTCAGCCTCCCGAGCAGCTGGAATTACAGGTGCCTTCCACCATGGCCAGCTAATTTTTGTAGTTTTTTTCTTTAGTAGAGATGGAGTTTCACCATCAAACCCCGATCTCAGGTGATCCACCCACCTCGGCCTCCCAAAAGTGCTGGGATTACAGGCATGAGCCACTGCACCCGGCCTAGATCTTATTCATTCTATGTGACTGTATTTTTGTACCCATGAACCATCTCCACTTTCCCCCACTCCTCCCCACTACCCTTCCCTGCATCTTGTAGCCCTCCTTCTACTCTCCATCTTCATGACTTTATTTGCTTCTAGTTTTTAGCTCCCACAAATGAATGAGAACGTGCAAAATTTGTCTTACTGTGCCTGGCTTCCTTCACTTAACATGATGTCCTCCAGTTCCATCCATGTGGCTGCAAATGATGAGCTTTTGCCAATGCAGAGGAGCTGCAGGGGGGACTATTAGAGATCAGAGGTCTCTGATTGTAAAATGAACCAAATGTAGCCTCTACCACCTTGCTTAGAAACCCTGGGATCACCTGCCCCAGCCCACTGCAAAGCCTTGCTCAATAAAAATTCTACCCAGGAGAACCACCCATGCTGCTCCCAATGGGGGCTCCTTCCCAGTGAGCAAGCCCCCAGCACAGGATGGCTTAGCTTTCTTCTGCCGTCCAGGAGAGGGGATTGAATGGTGGGCAGCAAGGAAGAGGCTAATTAGCGAGTGCATAGTATTTAGAAATATGAAAATAAATAGCAGAAGGAACACTTAAAGGGCTGTAAGTAGTTACCTCCAAGGACTTGGAAGCAGATGGCAGAGGTAGAACAGGAGACCATTATTTTTAATCATAAGCTTTACAAAGTTATTTAACTTTTTAGACTATCTGCAAGTATAATTTTGATTTAAAACTTTTAATTAATGGGGGAGGGTGGCTAATAGGAAGAAGGATCATAGATTGTACTGTTGGTACCTTATTAGATTGCACTGTTTTTATCTTATTTAAAGCAGAATTTGGGCACAGTGGCTCATGCCTGTAATCCCAGCACTCTGGGAGGCAGAGTTGGGAAGATTGCTTGAGGCCAGGAGTTTGGAACCAACCCGGGCAACATAGACCCCATCTCTACAAAAAAATTAAATTAGCTGGGCGTCATGGCACATGCCTGTAGACCCAGCTCCTCAGGAGGCTAAGGTGGGAGGATCACTTGAGCCCAGGAGTTCGAGGCTGTGGTGAATCACGATCTTGCAACTGTACTCCAGCCTGGATGAAAGAGCAAGACCCCATCTCTATAAGTAAATAAATAAATAAAGCAAGACCCCATCTCTATAAATAAATAGGCCGGGCACAGTGGCTCACGCCTGTGATCCCAGCACTTTGGGAGGCCAAGGCAGGCGGATCACCTGAGGTCAGGCGTTCGGGCCCAGCCTAGCCAACATGGTGAAACCCCGTCTCTACTAAAAATGCAAAAATTAGCTTGGTGTGGTGGTGGGCACCTGTAATTCCAGCTACTCGGGAGGCTGAGGTAGGAGAATCGCTTGAACCCAGGAGACGGAGGTTGCAGTGAGCCGAGATCATGCCACTGCACTCCAGCCTGGGTGACAGAGCGAGAATCTGTCTCCAGATAGATAGATAGATAGATAGATAGATAGATAGATAGATAGAAGAATTTGATATAACCCATATGTATTAGTTCATTTCTTCCAAAAAGTGCAGACTTCAAGACAGGATTAAATGAGAAAGGATTTTTATTAGGGGAAACACCTGTGTGACAGAAAATGGAAAGGGATCAGATAAGGCTGGGAGAACCATCAGACCTCAAAACAAATCTAACCCCAACCAAAGGAAAAGGAAGAAAGGTTGGATGGGAACATTCTAGATAGCAGTGCAGTTTAAGGAAGGCCCAGCAAGGTCCTTGAGTAGCCCTGGAGACTCCTGTGCTTGGTCATTGGCAGGGAGCAGCCTGTGGGAAGCCAGGCCTGGCACCAACAGGGTGATGGATGTCAGTTTCAGGTGATGTCAGTTTCAAAGAGTTGAGAGGCCAGGGCTCTTGGTCCATGTTGCTCCTGCAACTGCAGGCCAGTCAGGCTGGAGGTCTGAGAAGCACAATGTCAAGGATGCCATCGCCTATTAATAGGGCCAGAACAGGCCGGTCGCAGTGGCTCATGCCTATAATCCCAGCACTTTGGGAGGCCGAGGTGGGTGGATCACGAAGTCAGGAGATTGAGACCATCCTGGCTAACACGGTGAAACCCTGTCTCTACTAAAAATACAAACAATTAGCTGGGCGTGGTGGCGGGCACCGGTAGTCCCAGCTACTCGGGAGGCTGAGGCAGGAGAATGGCGTGAACCCCGGGAGGCGGAGCTTACAGTGAGCCAAGATCGTGCCGTTGCACTCCAGCCTGGGCAGCAGAGTGAGACTCCATCTCAAAAAAAATAAATTTAAAAAAGTTTAAAAATAGATAAATAAATAAGGCCAGGACAGTCTTTAGGAACATGGTGAAAATCTTTGTTACACAGTGCACTCGCACCCTGGTCTCAGAAACTGAGCCTTCTGTTCCAGCAATCAGAGACTGCCTAGGGCGTCTTCTGAGATTAAGGAAAAATAACTCCAGAGCTCCAGAGAGTTCCTCTGTTGCCTGGTTACAGCTGGGCTTTGCTGTCAACACGTCCCCAAACATGGTCCTCCACACACCCCAACCTGATTTTTCTGGGGCTGTCACTCACCATCATGAACATGACCCAAGCTCTCCAAAGATGCATCTCCAGACTCTGCAACCAACAAATCACAGGTCTCCACTGAATGCCTGCCACTCCCTGCATGAGTCATGACTCCCTTCCATAGTGCGTCTCTCTTGACTTCAGGAGTGTGTAGTGACTAGGAACACAGATTCTGAGGACACACTGTCTAGAGCAAGGATCAGTTTCACCCAGCATCACCACCTAGTAGCCATGGGACCTCTATAACCCTCAGTTTCCTCATCTATAAAATGGGGAAACAGTAATACCTATTTCATAAGGTCCTCATGAGAATCAAAACTTAGCACAGAATAATTGCGATTCAAGTGTTAACTATTATTGCTCCCTTTTTCTTTTCTTTCTTTCTTGCTTTTTTCTTCTCTCTCTTTTTCTTTCTTTCCTTCTCCTTCCTTCCTTCTTTGTTCCTTTCTTTCTCTCTCTCTCTTTCTTTCTATCTGTCAACAGGGTCTCACTCTGTCACCCAGGCTGGAGTGCAGTGGCATGATCATAGCTCATGGCAGCCTCAAGCACCTGAACTCAAGCAGTCCTCCCACCTCATCCTCCCAAGAAACTGGGGTACTGCAGACATCCACCACCACATCCAGCTAATTTTTCTTAATTTTTTGTAGAGACAGGGTCTTACTATGTTTCCCAGGCTGGCCTTGAACTCCTAGCCTCAAGTGATCCTCTCTCCCCGGCCCCCCAAAGCACTGCAATTACAAGCATGAGCCACTGCACCTGCCAACTGTTACTTTTATTTTGCCTTCTTCCTGGACCCCCTCAGGTCCTCATGGGAAGTATGTGGCAGCTGGGTTCAAGCTTGTCTCTGTCCATCTCCTTGGCACAGGGTTTGCAGGAGTACGAGGAATGGAAATGGGGCAAGAACCCCACCATCGTGGAGGTGCTGGAGGAGTTCCCATCTATCCAGATGCCGGCCACCCTGCTCCTGACCCAGCTGTCCCTGCTGCAGCCCCGCTACTATTCCATCAGCTCCTCCCCAGACATGTACCCTGATGAAGTGCACCTCACTGTGGCCATCGTTTCCTACCGCACTCGAGGTGGGCGGAGGCACTGGGAGAGCCTCCTCAGCTGCATTTTCCCCCAAGGGGCCTCTGGAGGGTTCCCTAAACCACCGTCTGCAGGCTAAATCCCAAATCCCTGGGAAGAAACTCATCCCCAAGACCAGAAAGCTGGGGGAAGAAGCAGCAGGTGAACTGTCCCCTGGTGCAGAGCCAAGCCTGAGCAGAATTAGGAAAGAGGCAAGATGTGTATTTACAGTGGCGCCCCCTAATATCCCCAAAGCAGCAACTAGAACAAGCCACCACTACTCACTCCCTGGGAGAGCGCTCTGCTGTATCATGCCCAGCTGGTTGTAAGTCAGATAACCCAAGCTCTGCCCTGTATTTTTCCTCCTAGATAAAGCAATTAAAATGCACAGTGCCCGTCCCAGGAGCCCAGCAAGCCACCAGAAGCACCCTTCAATAGGGAAGGATTCGAATCCGACCCACCCCTACCCAATAGAACCCTGGGTGGTTGCACAGGCACGAAGTCACCCCAGCTATACCATTTCCTCTTGCCCTTCAGAGGAAGGGATCCTGGGGAGGAATTCCAAAGGATAAACTTGGCACTGGGCCTGTGGGTATTTTGCACTGGAGGGAGGAGGGGAGGCCGTGCTCGGGAGCAGTGGGTGGCCCTGACTGCCTTGGTTATTCTACTAGATGGAGAAGGACCAATTCACCACGGCGTATGCTCCTCCTGGCTCAACCGGATACAGGCTGACGAACTGGTCCCCTGTTTCGTGAGAGGGTGAGTAATAAGTGGAGAAAAATGAGCAATCATCTCAAATCTGCATATTGACGTCACAAGTTGGGGTAGGTGGACCAGTCTGAAGGGTTCTAGAGAGATGGCTGGGTGACACACGATGGAGACCAATGTCCTGCGTCTCTCTTAGTTGTTAAGGAAACAAGATCAGAGCAGCACAGCAAGCTAGGCAAGTCCTCTGGTCAATGTCAAGTCAATGCAACACACATTTCATTTGGGCGTGTACTGGGCTAGGTGCTGGAGCTATCGGGGAAAACCATGCAAATACAGTCTCCACCTTCATGGACCGTATGGGCTAGTGGAAATTCTAGCCAAATTCTACTGCTCGCTCCCAATCAGTCCCAGTTTCCTAGAGATGGAAAAAATCCAATCACCCCCATTCATTGGAGCTTTTCCTCCCAAATTCAGCTGTAAAGGCTATAGCTGATCTTAGACCAGTTATAGTTAACCTGTTTTGTCGATCAATAACTTCTCTACCTGAACAGTGACTTTGGCCAATCATTTTTCTCAACCATTGAGGTTAGAATGTTCACGATATGATCCACATGCCATTGATAATGATCCAAATCTCATTGGCATCAGAGTCCTCTGGGGTGTTTCAAACATAGAGTCCTGAGCCCAGATGTACTGTATGGCCCAGGAATCTGCACCTTGAACATCCCCAGGTGATTCTTTTACACACTGAAGTCTGTGACTCCTTGATTTAAAGATTTCACGGTTGGTTAAACCAGTGGCTCTGGGCTGGGCGCAGTGGCTCACGCCTGTAATCCCAACACTTTTGGAGGCCAAGGAAGGCAGATCACTTGAGGTCAGGAGTTCGAGACCAGCCTGGCCAACATGGCGAAACCCCATCTCTACTAAAATACAAAAAAAAAGTAGCCGAGGGTGGTGGCGGGTGCCTGTAATCCCAGCTACTTGGGAGGCCGAGACAGGAGAATTGCTTGAACCTGGGAAGTGGAGTGCAGTGAGCCAAGATCACACTACTGCACTCCAGCCTGGGTGACAGAGTGAGACTTCGTCTCAAAAAAAAAGAAAGAAAAAAAAATGGTGGCTCTCAAACCAGGGTGATTTTTGCAGCACCCCACCCCACCCCTGCCACCCAGGGACATTTGACAATGTCTGGAGACATTATGAGTTGTCACAACTCACATGTACTCCTGGCATCTAGTGGGTGGAAGCCGGGGATGTTGCTCAATACCCTACCATGCATAGGACAGTGCCACGACAAAGGAGTGTTCACCCCAAGTGACCAGGGTGCCAGCGTAGAGATACCCTGGGTTGAATTTGCTGAGCTCAGCAGTGAGAAGAATTGGGGAATGGAGAAATAGCCAGAACTTGAGGACCCCCCATTTTTGGAATTCCCCTAATCGATGAGACTCCCACCCTGGAAAGGGGCACCTGGCCCCGGCTGAAGAGCCTTAAGTCTCATTGTATGTCTACCGAAGATGGCCACCTGGTCTACCTAAGATTCAATTGTTCTTGATTGGATTTGAGCTCTGCAAGACTTCTGACCCCCTCTTCCTTGCCCAGAGCACCCAGCTTCCACCTGCCCCGGAACCCCCAAGTCCCCTGCATCCTCGTTGGACCAGGCACCGGCATTGCCCCTTTCCGAAGCTTCTGGCAACAGCGGCAATTTGATATCCAACACAAAGGTGGGTTACAGTCCAGTGGCCACTTGGTTCCCACCCCCGGACCTGGGGAGGTCCAGCTGTGTCTCAGCAGCCCTAGAGAACAGTGAAGGTGTCTCTCCACGGCATCACCGCCTCAGAAAAGCTGGGGCGTGTAGCACCAGCCTGACCTACAGGTGAAGTTCATGGTGTAATCCAAACAGCCTGTCCCAGGGGCCTGAAATTCCAGGCCCAGAGGACATTTCTTTGACTGTTAAGATGTGATCTCTTCAAAAAAAATCCAGTAGCCTGGAAAAGATAGGCATTAGTCCTTATCAAATGGCTATGCTTATGTAATTATTGCAAAGACTGTTATTCAAGAGCAAGTGCTATGTGAAAGACACAGCAGATCAGCTTTGGGAGGAGAGAGAGAGAAAGAAACCCAAATTGTGGCATGCGTTAAACAAGGATTTATTGGCCGGGCGCGGTGGCTCACGCCTGTAATCCCAGCACTTTGGGAGACCCAGGCCAGCGGATCACGAGGTCAGGAGATCGAGACCATCCTGGCTAGCACGGTGAAACCCTGTCTTTACTAAAAAATACAAAATTTAGCCCGGCGTGGTGGCGGGCACATGTAGTCCCAGCTGCTTGGGAGGCTGTGGTGAGAGAATGGCGTGAACCCGGGAGGCGGAGCTTGCAGTGAGCCGAGATCGTGCCACCGCACTCCAGCCTGGGTGACAGAGTGAGACTCCGTCTGAGAAAAAAAATAAAATATAAAATAAAATAAAACAAGGATTTATTGAGCACCTAATGAGTGCCAAACACTATTGGAGGCGTTGGGGCATAGCAGTGAACAAGACAGAAAAGCAACTAAAATAGAAATGAAAACCTTTCCATTGATTTGAGGGATGATTATAAAAACAAATCAATCAGTCAGTAAAAACTTGCCCCCATGAAACTGTCATTCTAGCGGAATAGCTAACATTTATAAAGTACTTGCCAGGTATCAGGCAGAGTTGTAATGTTTCACATTCATTTCTCACAACAGTCCTGTTACTTCCATTTTGCAAATAGGGAAGCAGAGGCTTAGAAAGTTGAGTACATCGTGGCTGGGTGCGGTGGCTCACGCCTGTAATCCCAGCACTTTGGAAGGCTGAGGCAGGTGGATCACTTGAGGTCAGGAGTTCGAGACCAGCCTGTCCAACATGGTGAAACCCTGTCTCTACTAAAAATACAAAATTAGCCAGGCATGGTGGCACACATCTGTAATCCAAGTTACTTGGGAGGCTGAGACAGGAGAATCACTTGAACCCGGGAGGCAGAGGTTGCAGTGAGCCGAGATAGTGCCATTGCACTCCACCTTGGGCAACAAGAGTGAAACTCTGCAGGTTTCACTCTGCAGGTTGCAGTGAGCCAAGATCACACCACTGCACTCCAGCCTGGGCAACATAGTGAGACTCCATCTTAAAATAATAATAATAATAAAATAAATAAATAAAAAGGCCAGGCACAGTGGCTCACGCTTATAATCCTAACACTTTGGGAGGCCAAGGCGGGCAGATCACAAGGTCAGGAGTTCGAGACCAGCCTGGCCAACACAGTGAAACCCCATCTCTACTAAAAATACAAAAATTAGCCAGGCGCGGTTGCAGGCACCTGTAATCCCAGCTACTTGGGAGGCTAAGGCAGGAGAATGGATTGAACCCGGGAGGTGGAGGTTGCAGTGAGCCGAGGTCGTGCCACGCACTCCAGCCTGGGTGACAGAGCTAGACTCCATCTCAAAAAAAAAAAAAAAGTTGAGTAAGTTGTTCATCACAGAGCTGAGATTTCAACCAGGCCGTCTAGCTCCAGAGGCTTGGGTCTTAGGCCCAGAGTCTGGGCATCAGGTGGGGGCTCCTAAGTAGTCAAGGAGCAGAAGGAAGGATTGAGACCTGGGAGGGAGATCCACTAAAATCTGAACACACTTCACCTCCTTCCTCAGTGCGTGCATATGTATGTGTGTGTATGTGTGTGCATGTGCGTGCATGTGAGCACCTGTGTACATGTGTGTGCACGCATACATCTGCCTGTCCTAGTGTTTGTGAGCCTCTATCCGCATGGCACACGCTAAGGTCTCAGTACCCCATCCCTGGCACCTCAGCCACCCTGCACATCAGGCAGAGAGCCATCGGTGACATAAGGTCTTCCTGGTCCCCAGGAATGAACCCCTGCCCCATGGTCCTGGTCTTCGGGTGCCGGCAATCCAAGATAGATCATATCTACAGGGAAGAGACCCTGCAGGCCAAGAACAAGGGGGTCTTCAGAGAGCTGTACACGGCTTACTCCCGGGAGCCAGACAAACCAAAGGTAACCCCCAGCAGCCCACCCCCTAGCCCAGCCCAACACACATGCACACTTGGACATCCTACTCTCAGAAACCCCTCACCCTCACTCTTAAGCTTCCTGATTTTCCCTCTATGAAGTTGCTCTGTACTTCAGAAAGCATGGGTAGGGAAAATATCTATGTAAAATATTTAACAGGCCGAGCGCCTGTAATCCCAACACTTTGGGAGGCCAAGGCAGGTGGATCACTTGAGGTCAGGAGTTGGAGACCAGCCTGGCCAACATGGTGAAACCCTGTCTACTAAAAATGCAAAAATTAGCCAGGCATGGTGGTGCACACCTGTAGTCCCAGCTACTTGGCAGGCTGAGGCAGGAGAATCACTTGAACCCAGGAGGCAGAGATTGCAGTGAGCTGAGATCGCGCCACTGCCCTCCAGCCTGGGTGACAAAGTGAGACTCCATCTCAAAAATATATATGTGATGAAATAAAATATTTAACAGCCTATATTATAAGATTCAACTTATATGTAATATCCAGAATAGGCAAATCCATAGAGACAGAGTAGATTAGTGGTTGCCAGGGGCTGAGGGAGGGGAGAATGGGGAGTAACTGCAAATGGGCATGGGGTTTCCATCTGACGTAAAGAAAAAAGTTCTGGAACCAGATAGTGATGATCCCGTAACACTGAGAAGGGTACTTAATGCCACTGAGTCATACACTTTAAAGTGGTTACGACGGTAAATGTTACATGACGTTTTTACCATAATGAAAAATGTGGGGCCAGGCACCGTGACTCACGCCTGTAATCCCAGCACTTTGGGAGGCTGAGGTGGGAGGATCACTTGAGTCTGGAAGTTCAAGACCAGCCTGGGCAACATACTGAGACCCTGTCCTTACAAAAAAAAAAAAAAAAAAAAAATTTAAGTTAGCTGGGCGTGGTGGCGTATGACTGTGGTCCCAGCTCCTTGGGAGGCTGAGGCAGGAGGGCAGCTTGAGGTGGGAGGGTAGCCTGGGAGGTCAAGGCTTCAGTGAGCTGTGATCATGCCACTGCACTCCACCCTGGGCAACAGACCAAGACTCTGTCTCTAAACAATAAATAATTAGAAATAAAAATTAAAAATATTTAAAAACAGAAATTAAAAAAAACAAATTTAGGCCGGGTGTGGTGGTTCACACCTGTAATCCCAGCACTTTGGGAGGCCAAGGTGGGCAGATCATTTGAGGTCAGGAGTTCGAGACCAACCTGGCCAACATGGTGAAAGCCCATCTCTAATAAAAATATAAAAATTAGCTGGGCGCGGTGGCACATTCTTGTAGTCCCAGCACTTTGGGAGGCCGAGGTGGGTGGATCACTTGAGGCCAGGAGTTTGAGACCAGCCTGACCAACATGGTAAAACCCCATCTCTACTAAAAAAAAAAGCCAGGTGTGGTGATGCATGCCTGTAGTCCCAGCTATTCAAGAGGCTGAGAGGCAGGAGGAAGGCTTGAACCTGGGAGGCGGAGGTTGTAGTGAGCTGAGATCATGCCACTGCACTCCAGCCTGGGCAACGAGCAAGACTCTGTCTCAAAAATAAATAAATAAATAAATAAATAAATAAATAAATAAAAATAAATTTAACAGCCCATAAGAGGCAATACTAGTCAGAATGGACACGGGCCACAGAACTAAAGCTCCATGGGATCTTGGGGAGGTCTGGGGGTCCCAGGGAAGGAGTCAGGACATCGTGGCAGGTTGGGGGGGCACTCAGAGAGTCCGGGCAGTGTCTGACTACTAGGGTGGGAGTATCTCAGTCTTAAGAGTCGCTACAGCCATACCAGCATGTTCCAGCTAAATATCAGCTTCAGAGTGGGAGTTTCCTGGACAAGTTAAAGACATCCTGAACAAATGAGCTCCCTGGAGCTGTACTGGACACGCCTTGTGCCCACCTCACACCTCCTTAGCCCACCTTTTCCTTCTGCTATCGCTACAGCAGCCGGCTTTGCAGAGGTGGAAGCTGGCAGCCCCTCACCTCACCCCCATCTCTTGCTATCGGCCCAGGGCTTCCCTGGCACTGTAACATAGGGTGCCTGCAATAACCAGCTGCACACCTGGAAATGTGCAGGTGTTAACACCCGGTGACCATTGGCCACCAGGAGAGAGAAGTGGGTAGTGAATGCTCCCCGTCTTTCCCCTCTCCAGGGGATGATTCTGGGAAACAGTCTATCCAGCTCCCTGGAGGGTCCTTAGCAGAGCTGAGCTCCAGTTATCCAAAGAGGGTAGCAGTGCATTCCCGCACCCTCCAATTGACTTTCCCGCCTTCTCTATCTCACTCTTCCCAGTCCCTCACTCTTGTTCCCTGGGATCAGCTCACAAAAGATCCTACCTGCCCACAAGCCCCTGAGTCAGGCTCTGCTTCCTGGGCAGACATGGGCTATGGCAGGCACGTTGCACAGCCCAGCCCCTTCTCACTGCTCTCTGCTCCTTGCAGAAGTACGTGCAGGACATCCTGCAGGAGCAGCTGGCGGAGTCTGTGTACCGAGCCCTGAAGGAGCAAGGGGGCCACATATACGTCTGTGGGGACGTCACCATGGCTGCTGATGTCCTCAAAGCCATCCAGCGCATCATGACCCAGCAGGGGAAGCTCTCGGCAGAGGACGCCGGCGTATTCATCAGCCGGATGAGGGTGAGTGACAGGCTGACTTCCCAGGTCCCTTTTCCTACATCCACTCTCCTATCCCCCCTTTTTCATCCAACCTGTCTTGATGATTAGGGGAGCCACGATGATATCCCTGCTCCCATTCGTTGCACTTACCACTGAGGGTAGAGGATATAGATGGTCCCAAACAATGACAGAGAAAGTAGAAGGATGGCTGGGCATGCAGGCAGGTGTAGCAAATATGACTGGAGGCTGTGTGTGAAAATAACGAGTGAGTGGACCTCTGGTAGCTAGACAGAAACCATTCTAACCTAACTTCTCCTGCCCCAGAAGCTGCAGCACTGCCCCATGTAGTTGTGCAGGTTGGGCACTGCACAAAGAGATCCGAGGAGAACTGTGGAGCCCTCTATATACTCAGTCTCTTTAGTGTGACCCTCTAGACACACTTTTAAAGATTCCCCAGGATTTTGCAGAAGAGAGTTTAAAACTCACCCCGGCTGGGCTCGGTGGCTCACGCCTATAATTCCAGCACTTTGAGAGGCCAAGGTGGGAGGATCACCTAAGGTCAGGAGTTCAAGACCAGCCTGACTAACATAGTGAAACCCTGTCTCTTCTAAAAATACAAAAATTAGCTGGCTATGGTGGCGGGCACCTGTAGCCCCAGCTACTTGGGAGGCTGAGGAAGGAGAATTGCTTGAACCTGGGAGGTGGAGTTTGCAGTGAGCCAAGATCGTGTCATTGCACTCCAGCCTGGGCGACGAGAGTGAGGCTCCATCTCAAAAACAAAAACAAAAAAAACAAAACAAAACAAAACAAAAAATGGCTGGGTGCAGTGGCTCACGCCTGTAATCTCAACATTTTGGGAGGCCAAGGCAGGTGTATCACGAGGTCAAGAGATCGAGACCATCCTGGCCAACCAACATGGTGAAACCCCGTCTCTACTAAAAATACAAAAATTAGCTGGGCGTAGTGGCGCATGCCTGTAGTCCCAGCTGCTCAGGAGGCTGAGGCAGGAGAATCACTTGAACCCGGGAGGTGGAGGTTGCAGTGAGCCGAGATCACGCCACTGCACTCCAGCCTGGGTGACAGAGCGAGACTCTGTCTCAAAAAAAAAAAAAAAACAACTAACCCCAACTGAAAATGAACCCACTCTACAGATGGGGAGGCTGGAACCTAGTGCACGATTATGCCTGCCTTGCCAGACGCACACTCCCAACCACTGCCCTTCTTCAGCATTGAGATGCATTTTCTCTTTGTTTGATCCTCTTGCCCTTTGAGAATATTGACTGCCCGCCACAGGAGCTCCCATAGCTTGGTAAATTCTCAGATGTCACAAGTCAGTCGTCGTTTGGGCTGTTTCTTGAGACTCCGGGGGAGGTTCTTCTCTTTGCTTGCTTCTTTCTGGGCAATGTTGAGCAAAGATGCTCATCTTCAGAAAAACTCACGCATGCCCACGGAGTCTCCACTGTGGGTAGCTGTGGGGAGTTCCCTGAGTGCTATGCGGCCACTTGTTCCTTCCTCCCCTTTCTTCTGGTCTCATGGGCTATTTCACACTAAACCCAGTTTTGCCCAGACCTGAACTTGCAAGAGCACGTTGGAGGGAGGAAAGAGGGAATGGTGAGGTTTCCATTTGACCTCATCGCTCCTTTTCACCTGAGAATCCACCAAGCAGCAGCGGTGTTTCCAGATGGCAACCTAAATGTTCTTTGCCAACTGGGCTATGTCCCAGAGAACAGTTGCCCCACGTCCCAGAGAACAGTTTTGCTGAGCAGAGTCTTCGAGATCAAAGGTACCTCGGGGACACTGGCTTCAGCCTCATCTCTTTGGGAACCATCTTCCTTAGGGATATTCCATTCCAGGTGTCAGGCAAGTCTGCCCCTGCTCCAAGCCTTTATCTGGCATTTGAGAGCTGTTTTCTGGCTGTTTCTGTCTTCTAGGATGACAACCGATACCATGAGGATATTTTTGGAGTCACCCTGCGAACGTACGAAGTGACCAACCGCCTTAGATCTGAGTCCATTGCCTTCATTGAAGAGAGCAAAAAAGACACCGATGAGTAAGCTGGCTCCATCCCTGGGTGAGGGGCAGGAAGAGCCCTCTCTTCTAGGTCCCACTGGGCAGGAATGTCTGGCTTTCCCACGGCAGGGTCCCCAAAACAGCAGCATCAGCACCATCTGGGAACGTGTTCAAAATGCAAATTCCCAGACCACCCCAGACCTGCTGGATCTGAAACTCAGGAGTTAGGATGCAGCAGTTTGCCTTTTAACTAATTCTCCAGGGGAACCCTGAGGCCCTGTCCAGTGTGGGAGGAAATGCCTGCTTTGGGGGCCGGCTTCTGTTTGGGGCACCCCCTAGTGTAATGATGGCTCCTACCTCTGGGAAGTTGCTTTTTTTTTTTTGACGGAGTCTTGCTCTGTACTCCAGGTTGGAGTGCAGTGACACAGTCTCAGCTCACTGCATCCTCCACCTCCTAGGCTCAAGCAATTCTCGTGCCTCAGCCTCCCAAGTAGCTAGGACTACAGGCGTGCACCACCACACCCGGCTAAGTTTTGTATTTTTAGTAGAGACGGGGTTTCGCCATGTTGGCCAGACTGGTCTCAAACTCCTGACCTCAAGTGATCTGCCCACCTCAGCCTCCCAAAGTGCTGGAATTATAGGTGTGAGCCACCGCACATGGCCGGAGTTGTGACATTTCTACCAGAAGTATCTGTCTTGTTTGTTTTTTACCTACTGGGGTTTAGCATCAGATTTAGGGCAAGGGTTTCTTCTACAAAAGTGTTTGAACGCTGCTCATTTAGGAAAGTGGGGAGAAGAATGGGATCGCCCCTGGAGCTAGGTGGAGGTCTGGCGCTCAGTTTTTGTGTCCTTTCCACCAGCTCTCTCATCCCCTAAATGGCTGGGGGCTTTTTCATCAACACAAATTATAATTCACATGATTTTGACAATTTCACTGAACCTCTAGAAATTGCTGGAAACAGGCTGAGGCACCAGAAGACTGTGCCCGGGTCTCATGATTTAAACCTTACTTGAATTCTATGGCATGGCAACCTTGATCGTAATTTCACTTCCCAGTGCTCCCCGCCCCAGTCCCTGCCACAGAACCCCTGGAAAGCACCCCTGGACGCCCTTTACTTTAAATTGGGTGGGGACTCAGCTGTCTCTTTTTTCAACAACACAAGGCATACACTCATTTCTTGAATTTGGCATCTTCTTTGTTTTCCCCTTACGATGACACAGCAGTCTCTAAAACATACTGTCGTGGCCAGTAGACTCATATCATTGTCTTTAAGGTCACAAGTCCCTGGGTTGTCAAAAGCCTTTAAGGCCAGGTGTGGTGGCTCACACCTATAATCCCAGCACTTTGGGAAGCTGAGGTGGGTGAATTGCTTGAGCCCAGGAGTTCAAGATCAGCCTGGGCAACGCAAGGAGACCCTGTCTCTACAAATAATTTAAAAATTAGCAGGGCATGGTGACACGCGCCTGTGGTCCCAGCTACTTGGGAGGCTGAAGCAAGAGGATGGCCTGATCCCAGGGAGATCGAGACTGCAGTGAGCCATGATGGCACCACTGCACCCCAGCCTAGGCAACAGAGCAAGACCCTATCTCAAGAGAAAAAAAAAGGCCGGGCGCGATGGCTCACCCCTGTAATCCCAGCACTTCGGGAGGCTGAGGCCGGTGGATCATGAGGTCAGGAGATCAAGACCATCCTGGCTAACACGGTGAAACCCCATCTCTACTAAAAATACAAAAAATTAGCCGAGCGTCGTGGCAGGTGCCTGTAGTCCCAGCTACTCGGGAGCCTGAGGCAGGAGAATGGCATGAACCTGGGAGGTGGAGCTTGCAGTGAGCCAAGATCCCGCCACTGCACTCCAGCCTGGGTGACAGAACAAGACTCCGTCTCAAAAAAAAAAAAAAAATCCCTTTTGACGGGCCCAGTGGCTCACACCTGTAATCCCAGCACCTTGGAAGGCAAAGATGGGTGGATCACTTGAGCCTAGGTGTTCAAGACCAGCCTGGGCAACATGGCAAAACCCTGTCTCTACTAAAAACACAAAAGTTAGCCAGGTGTGGTAGCATGTGCCTATAATCCCAGCTACTCAGGAGGCTGAGACACAGGAATCGCTTGAACCTAGGAGGCAGAGGTTGCAGCCAGCCGAGATCACGTCACTGCACTTCAGCCTGGGCGACACAGTGAGACTCTCAGTCTCAAAAAAAAAAAAAAAAAAAAAAAAGTCCTTTTAAATGTTTCTCTTCCTGGCCAGTTGTACTTGTGAGCATTCATTCATTCATTCATTCTTTCAAAACAAGCCCCTGCTAGGTGCCAGGTCCTGTCCAAGACACTAAGGCTACAGAATAAATGAAAGAGACGGGCCGGGTGCAGTGGCTCACGCCTGCAATCCCAGCACTTTGGGAGGCTGAGGCGGGCAGATCACCTGAGGTCAGGAGTTTGAGACCAGCCTGGCCAACATGGTGAAACTCCATCTCTACTAAAAATACAAAAATTAGCCGGGCGTGGTGGCAGGCACCTGTAATCCCAGCTACTTGGGAGGCTAAAGCAGGAGAATCGCTTGAACCCTGCTGGGATTGCAGTGAGCTGGGATCGTGCCACTGCACTCCAGCCTGGGTGACAGAGCGAAACTCCGTCTCAAAAAAAAAAAAAAAAGAAAGAGACAAAGCCCCTGAGCCCAGAGCATGGGTGATTTTCTCTGGGGCACTCAGAGGAAACAGCAGCCTTGCCCTTGGGGCACTAACTGCCCCCCAACTTCTCTTTCCACAGGGTTTTCAGCTCCTAACTGGACCCTCTTGCCCAGCCGGCTGCAAGTTTTGTAAGCGCGGACAGACACTGCTGAACCTTTCCTCTGGGACCCCCTGTGGCCCTCGCTCTGCCTCCTGTCCTTGTCGCTGTGCCCTGGTTTCCCTCCTCGGGCTTCTCGCCCCTCAGTGGTTTCCTCGGCCCTCCTGGGTTTACTCCTTGAGTTTTCCTGCTGCGATGCAATGCTTTTCTAATCTGCAGTGGCTCTTACAAAACTCTGTTCCCACTCCCTCTCTTGCCGACAAGGGCAACTCACGGGTGCATGAAACCACTGGAACATGGCCGTCGCTGTGGGGGTTTTTTTCTCTGGGGTTCCCCTGGAAAGGCTGCAGGAACTAGGCACAAGCTCTCTGAGCCAGTCCCTCAGCCACTGAAGTCCCCCTTTCTCCTTTTTTATGATGACATTTTGGTTGTGCGTGCCTGTGTGTGTGTGTGTGTGTGTGTGTGTGTGTGTGATGGGCCAGGTCTCTGTCCGTCCTCTTCCCTGCACAAGTGTGTCGATCTTAGATTGCCACTGCTTTCATTGAAGACCCTCAATGCCAAGAAACGTGTCCCTGGCCCATATTAATCCCTCGTGTGTCCATAATTAGGGTCCACGCCCATGTACCTGAAACATTTGGAAGCCCCATAATTGTTCTAGTTAGAAAGGGTTCAGGGCATGGGGAGAGGAGTGGGAAATTGATTAAAGGGGCTGTCTCCCAATGAAAGAGGCATTCCCAGAATTTGCTGCATTTAGATTTTGATACCAGTGAGCAGAGCCCTCATGTGACATGAACCCATCCAATGGATTGTGCAAATCCCCTCCCCAAACCCACCCATACCAGCTAGAATCACTTGACTTTGCCACATCCATTGACTGACCCCCTCCTCCAGCAATAGCATCCAAGGGGCCTGGAAGTTATGTTGTTCAAAGAAGCCTGGTGGCAATAAGGATCTTCCCACTTTGCCACTGGATGACTTTGGATGGGTCACTTGTCCTCAGTTTTTCCTAGTCATAATGTCATACGAACCTAAAGAATATGAATGGATTAAATGTTAAAGCTTTGGTGCCTGGAAACAATATCAAGTAACAATATGATTATTATTTTTTTATTCCCCCAAAGCGGGCTTGCTGCTTCACCCTTGGGGATGAAATAATGGAAGCTGGTTAAAGTGGATGAGGTTGGAAAGAGTTGCCATAATGAGGTCCCACGTGGCTTCTTCGATAGGAGCCACAACTTGGGGTGGGAAGAACTTGTCCCTCAGGCTTGTTGCCCTCTGCAGTTGATCTCCAAAGTTTTAAACCTGTTAAATTAATTTTGACAAATAAGTTACCCTCAACTCAGATCAAAAATGGGCAGCCAAGTCTTCGGTAGGAATTGGAGCCGGTGTAATTCCTCCCTAAGAGGCAACCTGTTGAATTTACTCTCTCAGAGTAAATGGTGGGAAGGGATCCCTTTGTATACTTTTTTAAATACTACAAATTAGTGTCAGGCAGTTCCCAGAAAGAGACAAGAAATCCTAGTGGCCTCCCAGACTGCAGGGTCCCCAAGGATGGAAAGGGAATGTTCTGCTGGTTCTACCCTGTTTGTTGTGTCTTGCTATACAGAAAAACCACATTTCTTTTATATACTGTACGTGGGCATATCTTGTTGTTCAGTTTGGGTGTCTGCTAAAGAGGAAGTGCACTGGCCCTCTTTGAAAGGGCTTTACAGTGGGGGCACCAAGACCCCAAAGGGCCCAGGCCAGGAGACTGTTAAAGTGAAAAGGCAATCTATGACTCACCTTGCTCTGCCATCCCTGGCAGCCCCCACCGGTGTCCTGTTCCTGCCACATGGAGCTTGACTTCATGCCAGCTATAATCTCCCCTGCCTTCCTTTAATCCCAATTTCCCCTGCTCACTCTTCCACAGATATAAAGAACAAACACTTAGCATCCCACACTCACCCCTTCTAATCCTGAAGGGAAGCCCATTCTAAACTCCTTTCCTGCAAACCCATTTCCAGCTCCTAGTAGCTTTCCTCCCAAAGGCTTTCTTTCCAATCCTTTATAGCTTTGGAGACGCCTCCCCAATTCCCCAGGGAAGGAAACTGTTGTGTCCAATCCCCATTAAAGACAAATTGATCAGTGCTTCCCACTCCAAGTCAAGCTTTATGCAGGAATGCTTTTCCATCAGGGAATAAATACTTAGAAGCGCTTACAAGGTGCCAGGCACCTCCTTTCTGCATGTGCCTGCCTTTCTAGTAGCAGACAGATGGAAACATTGTCTCATTTTGTCAAGGAGTCCAAAGAAATGATTATAAAACCAGGATTCATCCTTCTTCTCCAGAAAGATTTTTTTTTAAGTAAACACCTTTCAATCCCCAACACAAGCTGCTTCACAACTCCAGGCTAGAAGGCAGGAGAGCGATCTGATGTGTTTCTTTCATTTGCCAGAATTCCTGATACCAAAAGCCTCTCTCTCTGTTGAGTAACCTCTCAAGGACCAGAGTGGAGTCCAGATTGTTAGGCTCAGATCAAGGGTGGGGAAATACTGCCCTCTCGTGGTGGCTTTTCATCCAGGCCTCGTAGCCAACCGTTTAAGTGCAAAATAGAATTAAGCAATGGGTAAGCAAAATAGGGTTGACAAGATATTTGGGGGTTATTCGGGTTATGGCCCATTTATTTCCCTCTTCCCCCTGAATTGACCAGTAGCAGCTCCAGCCCCATTTCACAAAAGTGAGTTTGGCCAGGAGGAATGAGACGTCTCCTGAAATAGGAACACCGGAACATCATGCTCACCTGCCATCACTATGCATCCAGTTCCCACAGCTTGTGTCGTGAAAGAGCAGAGAGATGATGTTAAACTCCTTGGGAGGAGAGAGGGCTTCTTTTGGTTTCCCTGGAGTGAGACAGCCAGGTGTCTTTCTTTTGCGGGGGGACACTTCAGACCCATCAATATGGAATTTTGGGAGCCGACCTGAGTGCAAATCCTAATTCTGCCCCTGTTGGTGCAGATGGCTGTGGGCGGCTCACTTGACCTTTTAGAGTCTGCATACCCACCTGTATAACAAGGTGGATTGAATGAGACAATGCCCACGAAATGCCCAGTTACAGTACCTGGTTCAAAACTTACTGCATTTTAATTTTTCACTTAACTTATAACATGTCTTGCTTCTCCAGTGTGTGGAAGGCACCGGGCAGTTTGCAGAGATAAGCAAAACACAGTTCCTCTCGTGCAGAAGGTTAGAATCTATTTTTTTTTTTGACAGAGTCTTGCTCTGTCACCCAGGCTGGCGTACAGTGGTACGATCTCAGCTCACTGCATCCTCTGCCTCCCCCAGTTCAAGTGATTCTTCTGCCTCGGCCTCCTGAGTAACTGGGACTACAGGCGCCTACCACCACGCCCAGCTAAGTTTTGTATTTTTAGTAGAGTCAGGGTTTCACCATGTTGGCCAGGCTGGTCTTGAATTCCTGACCTCAAATGATCCACGCACCTCAGCCTCCCAAAGTGCTGGATTACAGGCATGAGCCACCACGCCCAGCCAAAGGTTATAATCTGATGGAGAGAGACACCCGTCTTGGAACTGACATAAATTTCTGGGGTTTGAGAAATGGGCGGGATTTCACTGGTAGCTTCTGGAAGGTAAGAGTTGTCCAGGAATTGGGAAGAGTGAGAGGAAAGGCACGGACAGGGAGCATGTAAGATAAATTGAGGCTGGCTTTGGAAGGCTGAGGAGGGTGAGAAAAGGTGGGCTGGGACCAGACCGTGGGGAGAGGTGAGTGGCATTACAAGAAATTTAGGCTTTATTCAGAAGGCAACAGGGAGTCCCTAAGAATGTTTTTCAAAAAGGGACATTAAGGCGATTGGAGTTATACTTGGAAAAGAAAGTTCTGGCCACAGTACAGAGCATGGCCCGTTGAGCTGTTGGGGGGGTTATTGCTGCAACCAAGGCTTGAGTGAGGGAAGAGGCGGATGTAGTGATAAAGAGACTCCAGGAACTGAATCAGCGTACCTGGCACCCCATCCATTGTAGAGGGTGAGAATAAAGGAGAAATTAAAGCATCTTGCAGGCTGGGCGCGGTAGCTCATGTCTGTAATCCCAGCACTTTGGGAGGCCGAGGTGGGTGTATCAGTTGAGGTCAGGAGTTGGAGACCAGTCAGCCAGTTAGTAGAAACCCTGACTCTACTAAGAAAATACAAAAATTAGCTGGGCATGGTGGCATGCGCCTGTAGTCTCAGCTACCTGGGAGGCTGAGGAAGGAGGATCGCTTGAGCCCAGGAGGTGGAGGCTGCAGTGAGCCAAGATTGTACCACTGCACTCCAGCCTGGGTGACAGAGCAAGACTCTTATCTCAAAAAAAATAAAATAAAATAAAATAAAATAAAACATCTTGCCCCTAGCTGAGAGAGAGGTCTCTGAAGAGCAGGCTCAGGGAAAAGATGAGTTTTCAGAGCTGATGTGATAGTCAGCTTCTCTGGAGTCAACAGGGTGAATCCTTCCCAAGTCCAGCCATGCCCAGATGCCCGGAGGGAAAACTGACCCCCAGCCAGTAGACATTGGCTAAGAACACAGAATCTTCTGACCAAACACGCTTTCAGCAGCTGCCTGCTCTGGACTTTGAAAGAGGTCAGGTCTTGCCCTAAGCTCAAAACAAGTGAGAGGTGTCCTGACCTAGCTCATAGGGCAAATGGTCCTAATAGGATGGGCAATCCAGATGCCTGAGCCCCTTCACTCCGACAGCACCAGCGCCTAATGCAGCCTTTTCATTCTTGCCATTAGGAAATCTGTGGACTTCTAGCCTGTGTTTTAAACCAGCCATGTTTCCTTGTATATTTCCCTACCCGCTGCCCCACATACCCAGCATGCCGCTGTGGCCACCATGTCCTCAAAGCCTTCTGTCTGTATCAGGAATGTAGTCTGAGACTGCCAGGAAGCAACAAGGAGAGAGAAACACTAACTAGTCTTCCTTTATAACCCATTCATACTCTCTGGCTGTCCCCAACCTTCATAGTCTCCTGCATCCAAATGTCCTCTTTGGCTCAAAAAGTAGGCCAGGCATGGTGGTTCATGCCTGTAATAGCACTTTGGGAGACTGAGGTGGGAGGATCACTTGGGGCCAGGAGTTTGAGACCAGCTTGGGCAACACAGCGCAATCTCGTCTCTACTAAAAAAAAAAAAAAAAAAAAATTAGCTGGGCATGATGGCATGCTCCTGTGGTCCCAGCTACTTGGGAGGCTGAGGCAGGAGGATCACTTGGTCCCAGGAGTTTGAGGCGACAGTGAGCTAGGATCGCACCACTGCACTCCAGCCTGAGTGACAGAGCAAGACCCTGTCTCTAAAAAAAATTAAAATGAAAGACCAGGTGCTGGGATTAAGGAAACACAGGTCTGAGGGTCTGAGGGAAGGGGCCTGCCTCCCAGGGAGTCAACATAGATGTTCCCCATGAACAGGGATTTGACTTTGGAGGCCAACCTGGCCTGGCCTCTGCCCTTTATCTCACACTCCCTATCCTTGGCCCACTGCCAGTCCCTGCCTTGTGGCAAAGGGGCCCCAAAAGAAAAGCTGCCCTTCCCCAAATGTAAGGACCCAGGTACACTTTCACCCGTGGAAAGCAGTGTCTGTCGAGAGTCTGTTTCCTATTAATACTTATCAAAGCCATGTGCGAGGGAGGTGGTCAGCTGTCAATATGCCTTAGTATGTTTATATGAGTTTGTTTTGTTCTAAAATACCCAAACAGTTCTGGTCAAGCGGGGCTATGCCCGTCTGGCCCAAAACACAGTCCGTTATTAACGAGATGGCCCTGGCAGGCGGGAACAAATCTGCCTCCATGCACTGCTTCCTGTAGTCTTTTAGAAAGTAACTCCAGGACATCGAAGTGCCCAGATTTGACTCCTAAGTTCTAGGAGACTGTAGCGCAGGGTCTGTCAACCTTAGCACTATTGGCATTTGGGGCTGGGTAATTCTTTCTTGTGGGGGCCGTCTTGGGTACTGTAGGAAGCTGAGCAGCATTCCTGGCCTCCATCCACAAGATACCTGTAGCAGTGTCCTGCCAACGGTAACAATCAAGTATGTCATCAGACATTGCCCAATGTCCCCAGGGGGCAACACCCCTCTCTTGGACTTCAGGGTCAAGAGAATCTCTGCTGGCTACCCCAGGACTTCTCATTATAGATTTCCTGGAGCACGCAGCAGAAACTTTGCCTAGCCCAGTGGTTGTTTCCATTATCTGCTGCCAAAGTGGGATTTGAGGGTGTCCGGGGGAGGGGGCATGGGGAGGGCAGTATGCTTTCAAAAACCCCTCCCAGGCCAGGCGTGGTGGCTCATGCCTGTAATCACAGGACTTTGGGAGGCCGAGGCTGGCAGATCACTTGAGGCTGGGAGTTAGAGACCAACCTGGCTAACATGGCAAAACCTCGTCTCTACTAAAAATACAAAAATCAGCCCGGCGTGGTGGCGGGCATCTGTAATCCCATCTACTCGGGAGGCTGAGGCAGGAGAATTACTTGAACCCAGGAGGCAGAGGCTGCAGTGAGCCGAGATGGCACCACTGCACTCCAGCTTGTTGACAGAATGAGACCCTGTGGAAAAAAAAAAAAAAGCCCTCCCATGCCAGAACAGAGGATGGCAGTCTGTTTCAATAAGACACTGTGTCCTTGGTGTTGGTTCTGATTAAGACTCACTGAGATCCAGTGCTCTTGAGCTGGGTCTCAGTCCCCTCCCATGTCCTGTGCTCTGCCGCCACTGTTTTCATTGTTGTGTTCTCGTTGTGATTGTTAAGACTCACACTCCTGGCTCAGCAGTGGTTTTCCAGAAGGCCCAAAGAGCGGTGCCGGGCACCCCACGTCGCAGTGTCCGTTCCGGGCTTGGGAAGCTGGGGAGGTGGGCAGACCTGGTCGCATCTCACCACACACACACACACACACACACACACACACGCTGTCAGAAACTCGGCCGTCCCCCCTACCTCTGAGCTCTCAATGCTGCTAATCTCTGCCAAGTGTCCCTGTGCTCCAGCACCTTCCTTGAAGGACTGACGCCCACCCCACGCTCTTTGCGAGGTTGTCCAGGCTGTGTTTGTCGCATGCTCTTCTTCTGTATAGTTCTCATCTTCCAATTTTATGGGATTCAACAAAAGCCTATTATGCTTGTTTGCATTATGGTTACAATATTAAAAAGTGGATTCAACTTGGCTGGCTGCTGTCTTCTGTTGGATTTGCTTGGAGTTTCTCACACTTTGGCCTGCTGTCCTGGGTTGGGTGCCCCAGAAGCCTGCTCTGAGATGGAGTTGGCAGGAGGCTGACAAGAGAGTGCTCTTGGGGAGGAGAGGGGAGAGAAGGGAAGGGGAGAAGAGAGGAGAAGGGAGTGAAGGGGAGGAGAGAGGAAGAGAAGGGAGGGGAGAGAGTGAGAGGGGAGGGTAAGGGAGGAGAGGGGAGGGGAGGAGAGAAGAGGGAAGAGAGGAAGGGACAGGGGAGAGGGAAAAGAAAGACCAGGGAAGGAGCGGGAGCGGGAGGGGAGGGAGGGAAAAGAGGGGAAGAGGAGGGAGGGTAGAGGAGGGAGAAGAAGGAGAGAAAAGAGGAGGAGGAGAAGGAGCAGAGAGGAGGGAAAGCAAGAAGAGAGGAAAAGAGGGAGGGGAGAAGAAAACTAAGGGAAGAAGAGAGAAGGGGAGGGGAAGGAGGAGGCAGAAGTGAAGGGCAGGGGGAGAGGAGGGGAGGGGAGGAGGCCTCTCTGGTCAGAGGCAAAGCTGAGCTGCCATAAGTCTCAACAGAAGCTTCAGCCAGCCCTGCAGGGCATTCTAAAGGTGACCTTTCAGAGGTGTCCCGATTTGGGACTGGAAGGCAGGATTTTAGACCCGTACATCTTGAGTCAGGCAACTCTCACCAGCAGAAGCCACACCCAAGGGGCTGAAGGCTGAGGGTGCTCCCGGCAGCCAGGGGACTCGTTCCTGAGTCCCGATGCAGATCTGGGTGGCGTAGCTGAGCGTCCTCTCTGCCCGCCTCCCCAACACCCCCTTTTCCTCCAGCACAGCTGCATCCATAGCCAGGGCCCCAGAGAAACAGTAAGACCTTCACCCTCAGCCCTCTTCCATTTAGGGCCCTCCTCCCTGAGGACCCTAAACTCTAATTCCTGGCTGGTTTCAGGCCCAGTTCCAAAACAAAGAGACCTCAAAAGCAGTAAAAGAATAGATGAAGAGACCGGACGCGGTAGCTCACGCCTGTGATCCCAGCACTTTGGGAGGCCGAGGCGGGCAGATCACATGAGGTCAGGAGTTTGAGACCAGCCTGGCCAACATGGCAAAACCCCATCTCTACTAAAAATACAAAAATTAGCCAGGCATGGTGGTGCACACCTGTAGTCCCAGCTACTCAGGAAGGTGAGAGGCAGGAGAATCACTTGAATCCGGGAGGCGGAGGATGCAGTGAGCCAAGACCACACCATTGCACTCCAGCCTGGGCAACAAGAGAGAAACTCCATCTCAGAAAAAAAAAAAAAAGAAAAAATAGATGAAGAAGTGCTGATGTCAAATGCCCGACAGATTTGTGACCATAAAGGAATAAACTAGCAGTTGGGTTTGATGCAGGGGGATGAGGCTTCATCATGCCCTTCCAGACATGGCGATTTGGATGCTGTGACTAGACATTTCAGCTTTTTTATTTATTTTATTTTTTATTTTTTTGAGCCAGACTCTCGCTCCATCGCCATCGCCCAGGCTGGAGTGCAGGGCACTATCTCAGCTCACTACAACATCCATCCCAGGTTCAAATGATTCTCCTGACTCAGCCACCCAAGTATCTGGGATTACAGGCATCCGCCACAATACCCGGCTACATTTTTTGTATTTTTGTTAGAGACGGGGTTTCACCATGTTGGCCAGGCTGGTCTCAAATTCCTAACCTCAGGTGATCTGCCTGCCTCAGCCTCCCAGAGTGCTGGGATTACAGGCGTGAGCCACTGCACCCAGCCGACATTCAGGTTTTTTTAAATTACCAAGTAGCTTATTCAACTCATTGCCCACCCCACCTGCACACATACATCACTCCTGACTCCTCCATCCCATCCCTGAGCCTCATGCCTAAGTTCAAGTGTGGGATGAAGATCAGAGACAGAGCAGGAGTCAGGGAACTCCATGCCCTACTTACTGTCCTACAACAATGTATTAGCCAATTTTAAGAAGGGCTAACAGTTATTAAAAGCCAGTCTTAGTGGGCGCAGTGGCTCATGCCTGTAATCCCAACACTTTGGGAGGCTGAAGTGGGAGGATTGTTTGAGCCCAGGAGTTGAAGCCAGCCTGGGCAACATAGTGAGACCCTGTCTCTACAAAAAATACAAAAATACAGCCGGGCGCAGTGACTCATGCCTGTAATCCCAGCACTTTGGGAGGCTGAAGTGGGGGGATTGCTTGAGCCCGAGAGTTCAAGCCAGGCTGGGCAACATAGTGAGACCCTGTCTACAAAAAATACAAAATACAGCCGGGCGCAGTGGCTCATGCCTGTAATCCCAGCACTTTGGGAGGCCAACGTGGGTGGATCACCTAAGGTCAGGAGTTCAAGACCAGCCTGGCCAACATGGCGAAACCCCCATCTCTACTAAAAATACAAAAATTAGCTGGGTGTGGTAGCACACACCTGTAACCCCAACTACTCAGGAGGCTGAGGCAGGAGAATCGCTTGAACCCAGGAAGTGGAGGTTTCAGTGAGCCCAGATTGCACCACTGCACTCCAGCCTGTGTGAAAGAGTGAGAATCTGTCTCAAAAAAAAAAAAAAAAAAAAAAAAAAGCTGGGTGTGGTGGTGTGCTCCTGTAGTCCCAGGTGTAGCCGTAGTCCCAGCTACTCAGAAGGCTGAGGTGGGAGAATTGCTTGAGCCTGCGAGGTCAAGCCTGCAGTGAGCCGTGATTATGCCACTGCACTCCAGCCTGGGCAACAGAGTGAGTCAGGCAAAAAAGAAAAAAAGAAAAAAAAGCTAATCTTGACAAGAATGCTTTGACATGTTACGATTTACTCTCCTCCAATTTAAAGCTTGGGTAACTGACGTGCAAGGGGATCAGACAGTTTATGCAAGGCTAACATAGCATGCTAATGTTAGAGGTGAGATTTGAACCCAAGCTGTGCAGCCGAAGAAGCCGCATTCCTATCCACCCCCCCATGCTGTCACTAAGACACCCGGACTGTCTTGGTTCAAATCCCAGCTCCTCCACTTTCTAACTATGCAACTTTGGGTAAGTTACCCATCCTTTCTAGACTTCCATTTCTTCACTGTGAAATCAGTTATGATCGTTTCTACGCCATTGGTTTGCGATAGGGTTAAATGAGTTAATATTTGCAATATGCTTAGGGCAAGACAGGATGGAATGGAATGGAGTAGAATAGGTAGATAAAATAAGGCCCCAGCTTTGGTGCCTTCCAGCCTTCTCAAGCTTTTGTGTCTTCTAGAAGTTCCAACAGCCCATCTTGAAGTTATTTGATACTTAAGCACTGAGTTTCTCAAGCCTCCTCGGACCACCTGCAGTTACAGGGATCTCTCCTTTTAAAAGCCGGTGCCGCTAGGCATGGTGGCTTATGCCTGTAATCCCAACACTTTGGGAGGCCAAGGCGGGCGGATCACGAGGTCAGGAGTTTGAGACCAGCCTAGCCAACGTAGTGAAACCCTATATCTCTATTAAAAATACAAAAATTAGCTGGGCATGGTGGTGTGTACCTATAGTCCCAGCTACTCTGGAGGCTGAGGCAGGAGAATTGCTTGAACCCGGGAGGTGGAGGTTGTGATGAGCCAAGATCATGCCACTGCACTTCAGCCTGGGTGACAGAGTGAGACTCCGTCTCGAAAAAAAAAAAAAAAAAAAAAGCCAGTGCCTGGGCATCTCCCTGACCTGTCCAGGGAAAGTCTCGGACATCTTCATGTCTAACCAGATCTCGGCATGACTTACATACACACTGGAGTTTCAACAGGCTCTGCCCCAGAGGCAGCCGGGAACAATTTAACATTATATGCATCTCAACCAAATGACTTCTGTTTCCTGGCAACCACGTAAAAAACCCGAGTCTGCACCAAAACAGAACCTTCCCAAGTACAAATCAGAAAGAGAAGCAGGTGGGAAACAAGTGGTGGGGGAGGGAATATAAAAATATTTTTGAGTCACTACAAATGAACATAGAATATGGGCTTCACAGCCCCTTACAGAGTCAAAATGTGTTTATTTGTTTGTGGTACCCTCCACAAGATTACCAGGAAATCAAAAACAGGCAAAGTCTTTACAACCAGGTGAATCAACATAGTGTTTGATACATATCACTAAAAGGAAATAGCTTTAGGGATGGCCTCTAGAGGAAAATGAGGTTACGTTAATCAGACAGCAGAAGAGTTGAGACCTGAGTAATTGGTTATTGGTTAAGTGATTATTTATTTATTTTATTTATTTATTTATTTATTTAATTTTATTTATTTTTATTTTTATTTTTATTTGAGATGGAGTCTCGCTCTGTCACCCAGGCAGGAGTGCAGTGGCACCATCTTGGCTCACTGCAACCTCCGCTTCCTGGGTTTCAAGCAATTCTCCTGCCTCAGCCTCCCGAGTAGCTGGGATTACAGATGTACGCCACCACACCTGACTAATTTTTGTATTTTTAGTAGAGACAGGTTTTTGCCATGTTGGCCAGGCTGATCTCAAACTCCTGACCTCAGGTGATCCGCCCGCCTCAGCCTCCCAAAGTGCTGAGATTACAGGTGTGAGCTACCTCGCCCAGCCAGGTAAAGTGATTCAAAAAACAAAAACAAAACAAAAAAACCCTCAAATTTCTTCGTACTACTAGACTCAGGGATGGGGATACAGAGGTGAGTGATCTCCTGGCCTTCATGCATCTAGGTTTTCTCTGCTGGCACCCGGAGTTGACATGGGAAGCCTCACTCCCTTGGCCCCTTGCTAATTTACTGTGACCAAGAATTTTAAGATATTCAGGGGTGATGTTTTCCACTCTCCTCCTCTCTCCTTCAATTCCTTTTCTCATAAACAAAGGAACTACCAGATAAAGCAACGATTAAGTTTGAGAAAGCCAGCTGGGTGCCGTGGCTCACGCTTGTAATCCCAGCACTTTGAGGGGCCAAGGCAGGCGGATCACTTGAGGTCAGGAGTTTGAGACCAGCCTGGTCAACATGGTGAAAACTTGTCTCTACTAAAAATACAAAAATTAGCTGGGCATTGTGGTGTGCGCCTGCAGTCCCAGCTATTCAGGAGGCTGAGGCAGGAGAATCACTTGAGCCCAGGAGGTGGAGGTTGCCGTGAGCCAACGTCATGCCACTGCACTCCAGCCTGGGCGACAGATCGAGGCTCCATCTCAAAATAAAAAAAACAAGTTTGAGAAAGCTTCAGAGACACGCAATAAACTCAAAGTGTAGTATCTGTGGTATTAATTCAACATAATGCAGCGAGTCACCAAATCCGTTTAGTCTTGAACGTTTCGAAAAGAGTCTCTAATGGAAAGGCTGTTATTAGCAGAACGCTGCCGGCAAAGTCTACAGGGAGAGAGACACCTGTTCCGTTTCCCTCCAGGCTGGTGGTATTGCCTTCCTTGGAAAGCACATGCTGCCCCCAGAGTGCCCTTCCTAAAACATCTCTTTCATCCCGTCATGCCTTTGCTCAAAGTCATTCGGTGCCACTAGGGATCAGAGGAGGAAGGGCCAGTTCCTCTGGCCAACAGTCAGTGTTTGTGTGACCACAAGTGGCCCTTTTTGGCTTCCCTTTCTTCCTCAGCTCTGCCCAAGTCTACTTTTCTGGGCTGATCCACCTCGGTGGTTCTAAACACAGCTTTTCTTTTCCTTCCCATGGGGCCTTTGCCTCTGCCACTCCCCACTACCTGGAAACCCACCCTCCTCTCTTATTTCTGTTGGTAACCATTTCTATTGCTGAGGGTTTGATTCAAACAGCCCCTTTGTGGGCTCCTGCCTGTAGCCTCTGGCTATGCTGCTTGTCAATACCAATCACTTTGCACCCAGGAAGTGTTGCTTGGCAATAGTTGTCTGTGTACGTGTCTGTGCGTATGTCCTGTCTGCCTCTTTGTACCAGTCAGCTCTTGCCACGCTAATGCTGAGTAACAAACAGCCACGAAATCTCCCTGGCATACTGCATTATTGCTGCAGAGGTTGGAGGGGTGCAGCTGTGAGTGAGGGAATGCGAGTGGCCTTCACAAGCTGAAAAGACAAAGAACAGATGTCCATCGAGAGCTTCCAGTGGGAACACAGCTCTGTTAAACACTTCGATTTTAGCCCTGAAAGAGCCACGGGGGACTCCTGACGTACAGAGCTGTAAAATAATAACATTGCGTGGTTTGAAGCTACTAGATTGTAGTAGTTTGTTAGAGTAACTGAAGAAAGCTAGTATATTAGCTAGGCATGGTGGCTCACGCCTGTAGTCCCAACTACTTGGGAAGCTGAGGCAGGAGGATCCCTCGGGCCCAGGAGGCTGAGGCTGCAGTGAGCAGTGATTATACCACTGCCCTCCAGCCTGGAAAAAAGAGTGAGACCCCATCTCAAAAAAAAAAAAAAGAAAAGAAAAAGAAAAAAGAAAGAAAGGAAAGCTGGCCAAGCGTGGTGGCTCACACCTATAATCCCAGCACTTTGGGAGGCCGAGGCAGGCAGATCACAAGGTCAGGAGTTTGAGACCAGTCTGGCCAATATAGTGAAATCCCATCTCTACTAAAAATACAAACATTAGTCAGGCATGGTGGTGGGCGCCTGTAGTCCCAGCTACTCTGGAGGCTGAGGCAGGAGAACTGCTTGAACCCAGGAGGTGGAGGTTGCAGTGAGCTGAAATCGCGCCACTGCACTCCAGCCTGGGTGACAGAGCAAGACTCTGTCTCAAAACAAAACAAAACAAAACACACACACACACACACACACAAAAGGGAAAGGAAAGCTAAGGCCGGGCGCGGTGGCTCACGCCTGAAATCCCAGCACATTGGGAGGCCGAGACAGGTGGATCACCTAAGGTCAGGAGTTCAAGACCAGCCTGGCCAACATGGTGAAACCCCGTCTCTACTAAAAATACAAAAAATTAGCACCTGTAATCCCAGCTATTTGGGAGGCTGAGGCAGGAGAATTGCTTGAACTTGGGAAGTGGAAGTTGCAGTGATCAGAGATCCACGTCACTGCACTCCAGCCTGGGCAACAAGAGAGAAACTCCTTAAAAAAAAAAAAGAAAAAGGAAAGCTAATACAAAATATGAATTAAATCTGTATTCATTGACTGTTACTACTGTTCTAGAGGAGAATCCATTTCTTTGCATTTTCCAGGTTCTGGAAGCCTCCCACATTCCTTGACTCACTGCCCAGCATCACTCCAACCTCTGCTTCCGTTATCCCACCTCATCCTCTGCCTCTGACCCTCCTGCTTCCCTCTTATGAGAACCCTTGGGATGACACTGGATCCACCCAGATAATCCAGGATCATCTCCTCTTCTCAAGATTCCTTAACTTAATCACATCTGAAAAGCCCCCTTTTGCCACATAAGGTAACATATTCACAGTTCTCGGGCATTAGAACCTGGACATGTTTGGGGATCATTTCCAGCTTAACACAGCCCATCCTCTGGCTCCCAATGATTCATGTCCACCCCACACACAAAATACAGTCAGCTCAATTGATTCGCTTGTAGGATGCATTCATCCATTCCATAGAAATAGAATGAGGACCTATTATGTGGCAGACTCTGGTAGATCAACCAGTAGCACTCACATTACAGAAGAAGGACAGGGACAATAAGTAAGCTTTTATTTATTTATTTATTTATTTATTTATTTTATTTATTTATTTATTTTTTGAAACAGAGTCTCACTCTATCGCCCAGGCTGGAGTGCAATGGCACGATCTCTGCTCACTGCAACCTCCGCCTCCCAGGTTCAAGCGATTCTCATGCCTCAGCCTCACGAGTAGCTGTGATTACAGGTGCCTGCCACCACAGCTGCCTAATTTTTGTATTTTTGGTAGAGACAGGGTTTCACCATGTTGTCCAAGCTGGTCTCAAACTCCTGACCTCAAGTGATCAGCCCATCTCGGCCTCATTTCAGCCTCCTAAAGTGCTGGGATTACAGGCGTGAGCCACTGAGCCTGGTTCATAAGGAAGCTAGAAGGAGAAGAAGAAAGAAGAAGGAGGAGGAAGAGGAGGAGGAGGAGAAGGAGGAGGAGGAGGGGAAGGGGAGGAGGAGGAGGAGGAAAGAGGAAGAAGTGGAGGAGGAGTGGGTAGGAAGAAGAATGTTAGTGATGATTAAGTAATTTTTGGAGGAAAAAAAAACAGGGAAAAAAGTGACTGTTTAAATAGAGTGGTCAGGGAAGTCTTCAGCAATAAGGTGGCTCTGAGGGGACAATGAGGGGGAGCAAACCCTGCACATAACGGGGTTGATTAGCTGGTCAGAAAGTGTCTCTGCAGGACAACATGAGATGTCCTCGATGTACGTTCAATAACTATTTCAGCAAAACTGAGCAGAAGCTGTGTTTTCATAGAAGTTGCCTTCTTTTTTTTTTTTTTTTTTTTTTTTTTTTTTTGTTTGAGACAAGCTCTCGCTCTATCACCCAGGCTGGATTGTAGTGGCGTGATCATGGCTCACTGCAGCCTCGACCTCCTAGGCTCAAATGATCCTCCCACCTTAGCCTCTCAAAGTCCTGAGATTATAGGCATGAGCCACCCCGCCCAGCTGAGGTTGCCTTTTTTTTTTTTTTTTTTTTTTTGAGACAGAGTCTCAATCTGTTGCCCAGGCTGGCGTGCAGTGGCATGATCTTGGCTCACTGCAACATCCACCTCCCAGGTTCAAACAATTCTGCTGCCTCAGCCTCCCGAGTATCTGGGATTATAGGCATGTGCCACCACACCCTGCTAATTTTTTTTTTTTTTTTTTTTTTTTGGTATTTTTTAGTAGAGACAGGGTTTCACCATGTTGGCAAGGTTGGCCTTGAACTCCTGACCTCAGGTGATCCACCCACCTCGGCCTCTCAGAATGCTGGCATTACAGGCGTGAGCCACTGTGCCCAGCCAGTTGCTATATTATAGAAAGAGATTTGATGGAAGTGATGAAGCTTAACTTTAAGGCCCCTCCCTTGGAAAGATCCCTCCCTTCCAAGGCCACTTATTTTCTCATTCTACATACTCTTTCTAGTACTCTTGTGTACTTGTGAATTCATCCTTGTGTATCTCTTTTCTAAAACAGGGCCTCCAGGCCAGGTGTGATGGCGCACACCTGTAATCCCAGCACTTTGGGAGACCGAGGCAGGCAGATCACTTGAGGTCAGGAGTTTGAGACCAGTCTGGCCAACATGGTGAAACACCATCTCTACCAAAAATATAAAAATTAGTTGGGCATGATGATGTGTGCCTATAGTCCCAGCTACTTGGGAGGCTGAGGTGAGAGAATCGCTTAAACCTGGGAGGCGGAGGTTGCAGTAAGCCAAGATCACGCCATTGCACTCCAGCCTGGGCTACAGAGCGAGACTTACAGTCTAGCCTAGGCAACAGAGCAAGACTCCGTCTTAAAATAAAATACAATAAAATAGGGCCTCCAAACAGCGTAAGCTCCGGGCTCCACTAAACCCAGATCTGCCCCTGCGGGAGGGTGAATCTAGTAATCATGGCCATGTATGCATTCCTACAGTTTGTGAGTGTGTACTGAATGAAAGGCATAGGGTTCTGAGAAGGCACAAGGCAGAAGGAGCTTGCCTAGCCTGGGTTCATGGACTTGTGTTCCTACAGAGGAGCACTTGAGCAGAAATCTGAAAGATGAGTAGGTGTGGCTGAGGAGGCACTCCTGGGAAAAGGAACCGTATCAGCAAAGGCCCTCAGGTGGGCAGAGAAGTGGACCAGAAAAGAAAGGATGTAAGTACTAATTATGAGGACAAGGAACACTGTAGGGACTAAGGGAAACTTCCCCTTTGCCCTCAGAAGTTTCACTGAAAAATCAACTCACAAAAGGCAGATTAATAAGAGAAAAGGCCTTTGGGAGGCCAAGGCAGGAGGATTGCTTGAAGCCAGGTATTCAAAACCAGCCTGGGCAACAGTGCAAGCTCCCATCTCTATAAAAATTTTTTTTTAAATAGCCAGGCATAGGCCAGGCGCGATGGCTCACGCCTGTAATCCCAGCATTTTGGGAGGCCGAAGCAGCTGGATCACCTGAGGTCAGGAGTTCAAGATCAGCCTGGCCAACATGGTGAAACCCCGTCTCTACTAAAAATACAAAAAAATTAGCTGGGTGTGGTGGCAGACATCTGTAATCCCAGCTACTCAGGAGGCTGAGGCAGGAGGATTGCTTGAACCCAAGAGGTGGAGGTTGCAGTGAGCCAAGATCACACCACTGCACTCCAGTCTGGGCAACAAGAGCGAAACTCTATCTCAAAAAATAAAATAGCCAGGCATGGTGGCACACACGTGTAGTCCCAGTTACTTGGGAGGCTGAGCCAGGAGGATGGCTTCATCCCAGAAGTTCAAGGCTGCAGTGAGCTATTACTGCTCTACTGCACTCCAGTCTGGTCAACAGAGCAAGACCCTGTCTCCAAAACAAAAAGAGAGAGAAAGAGAGAATGGGCATACAAATTTATGAACATGCACACGGAAGAGGCCCACCAAAAGATTACTCACCTCCCCGCTGCCATGGAGTTTGGAAACTTATTAACATCTTAAAATTACAGAAAGAATGGGAGCTTGGATCTTGGCAAAACAGGTGTGGACAGTGTTGAGGGTAGTTGAAATGGTATCTGCGGCTAGATTGTGGAGATTTCACTGGAGAGGGGTGTTGACCTCGCCAGCCAAAAATAACGAGAAATTCATCTGTAGTCCAACAAAGATAAGTTTTTACCTTGCTGCAGCAAGGGAGAGGCCACCCTAGAGGACCACTGGGAAGCCAGGGAGGAGGGATCCCAGAGGGACTTATTCTAGGATTTGAGTTTGTGCAGGGTGATTTTAGCAGGGACTGTGGGATAGAGCAGGAACTCCCAAGCATGGAAATGAAGAAAAATTTTGAGTTCCTTCAAGGGAAATTCCAGGCACCTCGCTAGTAATTCCAGGCACCTTGCTGAGAAGTAAATGAGTGACTTGATAAGCAAGAAGGTAATAGTAGCTCAAAACACTAGCAAGAAAGTTAGAATCATGGGATGTCTGGTTCGCTTACAGAAACTAAGGATAGTGTCTTAACACACGTCTGTGGGTTGTTTTTCAGGATCCCAGACCCCCACCAAACAGACCCACTGGCCGTAGACCTCACATAAAGAGAAACTGAGGACCGAACCCTGACCACTGTTTTTTGTTCTAAATTTCTTCCTGTGGGGTCTAGAGGAGATCACGGCTACCAGCCAGAGCTAACATTCTTTACTGCAAATCTCAATTTTTTTAGACAAAGCTTCACCTCCTTAACCAAATACAAGTCAAAAAATCTTTGAATCCAGGGCCCTGCACAGTGGCTAACGCCTGTAATCCCAGCACTTTGGGAGGCCAAAGCGGGCGGCTCACAAGGTCAAGAGATCGAGACCATCTTGACCAACATGGTGAAACCCCGTCTCTACTAAAAATGCAAAAAATTAGCTGGGTGTGGTGGCGTGCGCCTGTAGTCCCAGCTACAGAGACTGAGGCAGGAGAATCACTTGAACCCAGGAGGCAGAGGTAGAAGTGAGCTGAAATCGTGCCACTGCACTCCAGCCTGGCGACAGAGTGAGACTGTGTCTCAAAAAAACAAAAAACAAAAAACACAACAACAAAAAACCTTTGAATCTACCTATGACCTGTGGGCCTCTGCTTCCAAATGTCCCGCCTTTTTAGGTCAAACCAATGGATAGCCTCCATGTAATTGATTTATGGCTTTGCCTGTAACCTCTGCCTCCTTGCCTTTAAAAACTCTTACCTGTGGGCAGGCACGGTGGCTCACGCCTGTAATTCCAGCACTTTGGGAGGCCGAGGCAGGTGGATCACCTGAGGTCAGGAGTTCAACACCAGCCTGGTCAACATCATGAAACCCTGCCTCTACTAAAAATACAAAAATTAGCCAGGTGTGGTGGTGCATGCCTGTAATCCCAGCTACTCAGGAGGCTGAGAAGCAAGAGAATCGCTTGAACCTGGGAGGCAGAGGTTGTTACAGTGAGCTGAGATAGTGCCATTGCACTCCAGCCTGAGCAACAGAGCAAGACTCCGTCTCAAACAAACAAACTAAAAAACTCTTACCTGTAAGCCATCAGGGAGTTTGAGTCTTAAACCATGAGCTCCCCAATTCTCCTTGATTGGGGCCCTGCAATAAATGCCTCACTTTCCCTCACTGCAATCCCAATGTCAGTGTTTGGCTTTGCTGTGCAGGCCAAGAGGACCCCAATTAGGTTCAATTAGGGTTGAGGGGACCAGCTGGATATAGTCAGGGCGTGAGGCCAGTTCAGCAAAAGGGTATCCTAGGGGAAATTTAAAAACAGAGTTTTCCCTATGCCAAAAAGGAAAGAGACTCATTCCCTTCTTCCTTTCTTGGAGAATTTCCTTGAGAAAATTTGTGTTTGTAATTATATCTTCTGTCCCTTTGATAGGTATGTAAATCTTTTGTGTGTGCGCCATTCTTTCATACAATCCCACCGGGCCCTGGACACTCTCACCAACATCCCATACTTCCTTCTCCCCTTCTGTACATTTCATGGACCCCAGGGTAGGAGGGGCTGGGTGAGGGTTCGGGATCCCCCTCCTGCCATCCTAACTAAGCATCTGGGGTACCAGCCCTGCTGCCAAGTGATCTTGTCCCTAGCCCTCTCTCCCCAGGCTGGCATGAGTGTGTGTTTGTGCCAAGCTTCTATTTCATATTGCAAATATAAATCAAGGAAAACAATTTAAGTTAAAATGAAAGAAAAAGAAGGCTGGGCGCCATGGCTCACACCCGTAATTCCAGCACTTTGGGAAGCCGAGGCGGGAGTTCAGGAATTGGAGACCAGCCTGCACAACATGGTGAAACCCCATCTCTACAAAAAAAAAATGCAAAAATTAGTCGGGCTTGGTGGTGTGTGCCTGCAGCCCCAGCTACTCAGGAGCCTAAGGTGGGAGGCTGGCTTGAGTCCAGGAGGCAGAAGTTGCTGTGAGCCGAGATGACGCCACTGTACTCTAACCTGGATGACAGAGTGAAACTCTCTCTCAAAAAAAAAAAAAAAAAAAAGAGGCCGGGCGCGGTGACTCATGCCTGTAATCCCAGCACTTTGGGAGGCTGAGGTGGGCGAATCACCTGAGGTCGGGAATTCGAGACCAGCCTGACCAACATGGAGAAATCCCATCTCTACTAAAAACACAAAATTAGCCAGGTGTGGTGGTGTATGCCTGTTATCCCAGCTACTTGGGAGGCTGAGGCAGGAGAATCACTTGAACCCCGGGAGGCGGAGGTTGCAGTGAGCCAAGATCCGGCCATTGCACTCCAGCCTGGGCAACAGGAGCGAAACTCCATCTCAAAAAATAATAAAGAAAAAAGAAAGAAACAAAGAAAAGAGAGAGAGGAAGGAAGGAAGGGAAAGAAAGAAAGAAAAAAGAAGGAAAGAAAGAAAGAAAGAAAAAAGAAGGAAAGAAAGAAAGAAAGAAAGAAAGAAAGAAAGAAAGAAAGAAAGAAAGAAAGAAAGAAAAAAAGCCAGCCAGGCATGGTGGCTCACGTCTGTAATCTCGGCACTTTGGGAGGCCGAAGTGGGTGGATCACCTGAGGTCAGGAGTTCAAGACCAGCCTGGCCAACATGGTGAAACCCCATCTCTACTAAAAATACAAAATTAGCTGGATGTGGTGGCACATGTCTGCAATTCCAGCTACTTGGAGGGCTGAGGCAGGAGAATCTCTTGAACCCGGGAGGTGAAGGTTGCAGTGAGCAGAGATCATGCCACTTCACTCCAGCCTGGGTGACAGGAGCAAAACTCTGTCTCAAAAAAAAAAAAAAGAAAAAAAAGAAAAGAAAAGAAAAAAGAAAGAAGAAGGAAAGAGAGAGAGAGACGACAGAAAGAAAGAAGAAAATAAAAAGAAAGAGAAAAGAAAAAGGAGACTGCCACTGTCCACATTCTCCATATTCTTCCTCTGTTTTATCTCTTTCTTCCCAGTACTTATCACTGCCTAAGGATAGCACTGATGAGTCCTGATAGTATTGGCGGTATCCGCTGTCACCTATGCTAATATCTCGGCTCTGTGACCAGGGCATTTGTGACTTTACCCTGTTCACCTTTGTACCCACATTGCCAAAAACAGAGCAGTCACTAAATTTGGGTTTATTTGTTACACAGCAATACTAACTGATGTATATGTCTTATTTAATAGCAAGATAGATTTTTATCCCTGTTTTATAGATTAGGAAACTGAGGCTTACAGAAATTAACCTCTGTTGGGCATTTGGTTATGGATGGTGAGGGAGAAAGAGGTAGCAAGGATGGTGACAAGTTCATGTTTTACAGGAATGGATGAATGAGTAGCCCTTCCTAAGGCAGGAACTACTAAGAGAAGACAAGGTAAAGTGGAGAAGAAAGATCATGAGTTTCCTCCTGGATAAGTTGAGTTTGAAGGGCCCAAAGGGAATGGCAGGTGAGCAGGCTAAGCCAGACTAGATCCCAGAGGAGCGGGTGGGGCAGAAGAGAGAAATGTGGATATTTCGATTGGATCTGGATCATCATTCGAGTTGTGGACAGAGGCAAGATAGTGAAAGAAGAGGGCTGGCTGAGGCCCAAGATACCTCAACATGTAACATCTGAGTGGCTGCAAAGAAGATGGAGAAGGTGCAGCCCCAGAGGTGAGAGGAGAACCGGGAGACAGTGGAGTCACAAAGGCTTTGTCTTGTCTTGCTCTGTCACCCAGGCTGGAGTGCAATGGTGTAGTCATAGTTCACTGCAACCTTGAACACCTAGGCTCAAGTGATCCTCCCACCTCAGCCTCCCGAGTAACTGGAACTACAGGTTTAAGCCGCCATGCTGGTAAAATTTAATCATTTTAAAGAGAACAATTCAGTGGCATTTAGTATATTCCCAATGCTGTGCAACCACCACCACCACCTCTATCTACTTCCAAAACATTTCCATCACCCCAAAGTAAATCCATATCCAGGCCAGGCACGATGGCTCACACCTGTAATCCCAGCACCTTGGGAGGCCGAGGCAGGTAGATCATGAGGTCAGGAGTTCAAGACCAGCCTGGCCAACGTGGTGAAACTGTCTCTACAAAAATACAAAAATTAGCCAGGCATGGTGGCATGCTCCTGTAATCCCAGCTACTCGGGAGGCTGAGGCGGAAGAATCTCTTGAACCCAGGAGGCCAAAGTTGCAGGGAGCCGAGATCGTGCCATTGCACTCCAGCGTGGGCAACAGAGTGAGACTCTGCCTCAAAAAACAAACAAACAAACCAAAAAACCCATATCCATTGAGCCATTTCTCCCTGCTTCCCACACAGTTTTGTCAAGCAATTTTTTTTTCGTTTCGTTTTTTCTGAGACAGCATCTTGTTCTGTCACCCAGGCTGGAGTGCAAAGGCATGATCTCGGCTCACTGCAACCTCCACCTCCCTGGTTCAAGCGATTCTTCTGCCTCAATCTCGCAAGTAGCTGGGATTACAGGCACCTGGCATCATGCCCGGCTAGTTTTTGCATTTTTGTAGAGATGGGGTTTCACCATGTTGGTCAGGCTGGTCTCGAACTCCTGACCTCAGGTGATCTGCCTGCCTTGGCCTCCCAAGGTGCTGGGATTACAGGTGTGAGCTACCGCATCCGGCTCAAGGATTTTTTCTATACCAGCCACTGTTCTATGCCCCTCACATGAATTTCCTCATTTAATTCTCATGACAGCCCCAGGAGACAGGCATTATTATTATTAATTATTATTCCCATTTTACAGATAAAAAACTGGGCCTCAGAAAGGCTAAGTAACTTCCCTAGTCAAACAGCTGGTTAGACTATCGCAATCAATAGATAATTGAGAATCTGCTCTGTGCAGGGCATGGGTCAAGTAACTAGGCTTCTAGAGGTGACTCAGACACAGTCCTAGCACTGAACTCCCTTCAGATTTAGTGGGAAAGATGCATGTTGAATAGTTGTAAGTTAAGTAATTACAAGACTGCAAAATGCTGGGCAGGAGCCATATCTGGTGCTGGTGCTGGGGCGGGGGAAGGGAGAGCATTTGGAAAGGTTAAGCTGAGCCCTGGAGGAAGAGGAGGAGCTACTGGAAGGGGAGGACTGCATGAAGTGCCTTGCAGGCAGCAGGAATAGTATATGTAGGGCCAGAAATGGGAGGAAAGAGATGACCAGCCTTGCTGGGGTATGCATGGCTAGTGAGAGAGAAAGACTTCAGATAGGTAAGAAGAGGTGGAGTTTGTTGCTTTGCAACAATGTTTGGGATGTCACATTCATTTCTACGGGAAATAGGGAGCCACAGATGGCTCAACGCCATCCATTGAGAGTCACTTTACTAGTTCAGCTCTCTCAGGGCATCTTGATTTCCAAGTTGCCAGGAGTACTTCATTGGACCCTCCATGTACTGACAACAGATCCTTCTAACTGTAATTGCACTTTGAGGTTTTGAAGCAAAGACTCCATTTTTCTCACCCCTGTATCCCCAGGGCACACAACACAGGGCTTTGGCACTGAACTAAACTGATTTTTTTTTTTTAATGTGCAGATCCTGAGACTACCCTCCCAATCCTGAGTGATAACTCCCGCTTTGAAGACTCAAATCCAGGCTTTAGCACTTTTGTCTCTGTAACTTTGAACCAGTGACTGCCACCTGGAAGAACTTTGCCTTTTCTGTAGAATAGGTATAACTGTGGTACCTATTGTGGGAGGTCAGACTATGCTCCCCAAATATGAAGGATTGTTGAGCTGGAAACAATTAAGAAACCAGTACAGGAGAGCTCTCTGCCTGCCCTCTATTAGCCTAAAATCAGGGCACACATTTGAGGATTATTATTACTCCCCTACACCATCATAGAGGGCTTCCCATAGCACCCACTCAAGAATATTGTTATTATTACATCATATGGTTAAGATTACTGACAAGCAAAAGTCAAGTGGATCTGAAATAGAATCCAAGACAAGGGGCTGGGCGCGGTGGCTCACGCCTGTAATCCCAGCACTTTGGGAGGCCGAGGTGGGTGGATCATTTGAGGTCAGGAGTTCGAGACCAGCCTGACCAACATGGTGAAACCCTGTCTCTACTAAAAATACAAAAATTAGCTGGCTGTGGTGGCGGGCGCCTGTAATCCCAGCTACTCGGGAGGCTGACGCAGGATAATTGCTTGAACCAGGGAGGTGGAAGTTGCAGTGAGCCGAGATCACGGCCACTGCACTCCAACCTGGGTGGTGGCGCGCGCCTGTAATCCCATCCGCACGGGAGGCTGAGGCAGGAGAATCGCTTGAACCCAGGAGGCAGAGGTTGCAGTGAGCCGAGATAGCGCCACTGCCCTCCAGCCTGGGTGAGAGCAAGACTCCTTCCCAAAGGGGGAAAAAAAATCCAAGACAAGGGATCCTGAGCAAGCCCTCTCACTCTCCGAACCTGTTTCCCCATCTGTAATATGGGGAGAAAGTTCGCAGGGTAATTCGGAAAGGTCCAATGCGCACAGAAAGCGCTCAGCACGCGTGAGAATAGATACCATTTTTATTTGTTAATTTTAAACATTAATTACGTTTAAAAGAATCAGTGCTACTATTGTTGTCCCGGACTAGAGGCGGCTTGCGCTGCCGGCTCCAAGCACAGAGCCCAATTATGTCCTCCCTTTTGCGGCGCTGCCACCCGCGCAGCCCCCAGCCGATGCAGGGGAGGTGTGGCCCGCGGATGGGCGGAGCGATCTCAGGACTCGCCCCCAAGACCAGTAGGCGGGGCCAGGCGGGGCGCCCGGGCACTCTCGCACGCGCGCGCGCGGCGGCCCCAGGTACGCGGACAAGATGGCGGCGGCAGCAGTCGACAGCGCGATGGAGGTGGTGCCGGCGCTGGCGGAGGAGGCCGCGCCGGAGGTAGCGGGCCTCAGCTGCCTCGTCAACCTGCCGGGTGAGGTGCTGGAGTACATCCTGTGCTGCGGCTCGCTGACGGCCGCCGACATCGGCCGTGTCTCCAGCACCTGCCGGCGGCTGCGCGAGCTGTGCCAGAGCAGCGGGAAGGTGTGGAAGGAGCAGTTCCGGGTGAGGTGAGCCAGCGGCCCCGCGCCCCGGCTGCGCGCCCACCGCCCCGCGCCCCCCGGGGCCGGGCAGCCGCCCCGCTAGCTCCCCGCGGCCGCCCCGCGCGCGGACCCCACCCCGGACCCCTTCCCGCGGACAGACAGACAAAGGCCTCCAGGCCCCGGACCCTGCGGGGCCACGCCAGGCGGACCCCCGGGTCCCCAAATGGCGCATCTAGGAGCGCCTCGCAGCCGGGTCCTCCGTCAAGGGTGACGCTGGCGGCGGCGCGGCTCGTCCCTTTTGCGCGCTTCTTTTGTGCCCGACTTCGGGCTGAAATGTTTACATGGACCCAGTGATGCATCGATCGGGCGGGCGCAGCATCCCCGGGCTGGTTGTGGACGGCACAGATTTCAGCGTGGCCCCAGGATGAAATCTGGCCCTGCACACTCCCTCTGTGACCTTGGGGGGAGCGACTTCCCTTTTTTTGAGCCTCGTTCATAGACTTTGAGTGGTGGTGATCATTAGACCTACCTTTCACCGTGTTTATTAAATTAGATGATGTCCGGGAGGCACGCACGCAGGGCCCCGGCTCCTAGGAGGCGCTCAATCAGTGCTCACTGTCATTGTCATTATTATTATTGTTGTTGTTGTTACAACTGTCCCCATTTTAGAGATGGGGAATGGAGACATCATTCATGCCGCTACGCCAAGGTCACACCGGGAGTGAGTGAGTGAATGCTGGTGGGGTTTTGAACTAGGTCTCTCGCCGGGGTCCCTCTTACCACTGGACGCCACTGCTGTCCCTGTTTCCAAGGCTGCCTTGGATTCGTGGCCGCCTGCCTTTGAGTTTCTGTTAAGCTGAGGGGGTGTTTCTCTCCTCGTAGGTGGCCTTCCCTTATGAAACACTACAGCCCCACCGACTACGTCAATTGGTTGGAAGAGTATAAAGTTCGGCAAAAAGCTGGGTTAGAAGCGCGGAAGATTGTAGCCTCGTTCTCAAAGAGGTTCTTTTCAGAGCACGTAAGGATCTGTTGATGTGGCTCTAAGCTTTGGCTTGCTGGTGTATGTGTCTGGGTCTGCAGGCATGAGCTCATCCAGCTCTTTTCGTATCTCCCTTTTCAATGCTCTCACAATCCCTTACTCACTTAGATGGCTGCAAGAGTCATTGTGTCCTTTTCCTCCTATCCAACAACACGAAGCCATTTGTCTGTGCCAGCTTTACTTTTCTAAAGCCAGAGAGAGAGTGGGGGTGGAGGGAGCAGGGAGGGACCCACGCAGCACAATGTAGACGGAGTCCAGATCAGCATTATTTCTCAAATGGGTTCAACGGATTTTTTTTGCAACCCCTCCGTTATTTGGGGAATCATCAATGATTGAACACTGTAAATTTCTCCCGGTTGTTTTCCCAGAAGGGTTGACGAAATTAATGTGGTTCTTCTCTCTGGCTTTGCAGGTTCTACCCAGTAGTGAACTGCATTATTTGTTAAGGTAACAGAGGATTAAAAGCTACCTATAAATCAGAGTTATTACTCCCTGAAATGAATTGTCTTGCATTCATTATCCCTGAAAAGTTTTTGGGTTTTTTTTTTTTTTTAAGTATTGCAGAAATACATGGTGGGTTTTTTTTGTTTTGTTTTGTTTTGTTTTCTTTTTTTCTTTCCTCAAAATGTCTCATGGAAGTTTCTTTCTTTTTTCTTTTTTTGAGACAGAGTCTTGCTTTGTCTCCCCGGCTGGAGTGCAGTGGCGCAATCTCAGCTCACTGCAACCTCCTACTCCTGGGCTCGAGCAATTCTCATGTCTCAGCCTCCCGAGTAGCCGGGACTACAGGCATGCGCCACCATACCTGGATAATTTTTGTATTTTTAGTAGAGTTGGGGTTTCACCATGTTGGTCAGGCTGGTCTTGAACACCTGGTCTCAAGTGATCCGCCGGCCTCTGCAAACCAAAGTGTTGGGATTACAGGCGTGAGCCACCGTGCCTGGCCTCACGGAAGTTTCTGTATCTGCCCCTGATCCCTTTTTGTAACTCTGGAAAATAATCCACACTAATGTTTTGAGTTCAACAAACTATTCGATATTTATTTCTGGTTGGGGTTCTAGAAATAGAGCCAATCTGATTTATTTCACTTTTTTGTTTTCCTAAAGACTCCTTTGGATTCTCTAATTTTAATTACTGTTAGTTAATGGAGTTAATAATTTGAAATGTTTTCAAGGCTTTTCAAGTTTTGAAAGGGAAAATTTGAACTTTGGACAAATTTGAATGTTTTCCCCTATGGAGAATACAAATAGACATTCCTTAGTGTAATTGGTTTCTATAAATATTTATTAGTGTTAGAATAAACAAAATTTGTATTTTACTTTGGAGAAGCCATGCCCTGGCTAAAAGCATTCATAATCACAAATTGTAAATGCTGATCTGAATGTGTTTGCACATACGTAGATTTTGGTACTAGCTATGTTTGGTGCAGTTGGTCATGGACTATGAGCCTGCAACCTCCATTTCTAGTCCAGCTGGTTTTGTGTATGTTTTGAACAGTCTGTGCCTCTGTGTAATAATGATGGATTGTTGTGTTTTTTCCTCAGCTCCCCCTTTTCCTGTACCACTGCTTAATTAGAAGTATGTCAAGGACTTTGAACACAGCGGGAGCATACTTAACATTAATCTGTGGGTGGGTGATTGCTTTGGCCCGGGATCTTGGCGTTCCTGTGTTCTCAGAATGCACACAGGTTGACCTGAAATGTTCTGGCTACTTGCAAAAAGAAAACTGAGAGAAGCCATAGAATTTTAAACTCAGAAGATCTTTTTTTTTTTTTTTTTTTTTTTTTTGAGACAGAGTTTCACTCTTGTTGCCCAGGCTGGAGTGCAATGGTGTGATCTCAGCTTACCGCAACCTCTGCCTCCCAGGTTCAAGTGATTCTCCTGCCTCAGCCTCCCGAGTAGCTGGGATTACTGGCATGCGCCACTACGCCTGGCTAATTTTGTATTTTTAGTAGAGATGGGGTTTCTCTATGTTGGTCAGGCTGGTCTCGAGCTCCTGACCTCAGGTGATCCGCCCACCTCAGCCTCCCGAAGTGCTGGGATTACAGGCGTGAGCCACTGCACCTGCCGCCGCCGCCTTTTTATTTTTTTTAAAACGGAGTTTCATTCTTGTTGCCCAGGCTGGAGTGCAATGGCGCAATCTTGGCTCACTGTAACCTCCGCCTCCCGGGTTCAAGTGATTCTCCTGCCTCAGCCTCCCAAGTAGCTGGGATTACAGGCATGCCTGGCTAATTTTGTATTTTTAGTAGACATGGGGTTTCACCACGTTGATCAGGCTGGTCTCAAACTCCTTACCTCAGGTTATCTGCCTGCCTTGGCCTCCCAAAGTTCTGGGATTACAGTCATGAACCACTATGGCCGGCCAGAGCTAGTTTTCTTTACGTTAGAACTGTGAGTTGTCAGTTTCAGAAATTCCAGTCTATGAAAACATCATTGATTACAAACAACAACAAAACCTCAGTAAATTATTGTTACTTTATGTTATTTTCTACCCATGACTGGTAGTGCAAGGTAGTGTAGAATAACTGTTAGCACTGTCTTTAGTAGTGGACATCTTTATTTCAGCTCAAATTTGTGAGAGTGAGAGTTGCATCAATACTCATAATTGAGGCCTACTTGTATATGTCTTCTTCATAGGTTCCTTGTAATGGCTTCAGTGACATTGAGAACCTTGAAGGACCAGAGATTTTTTTTGAGGATGAACTGGTGTGTATCCTAAATATGGAAGGAAGGTAAGCCATAGCTTTAGCAGGGATTTGTTTGCTTTAATAAGTCCAGAGTAAATTGCTGTAATTTCTGTGTGGCTAAACCCTGGAATATGTGATTCCAAATATTTCACGCCTTGTCATAGTTACAGTTTTGAAAAGTTCTGTGTATATTAGGTAGATACACCAAGACAATTGACATATAAAGAAACCTTACAAAAATCCTTTTGGAAAGAAAATGGAATTAATGTTTAGCACTACTATGGGTCAAATACTGTGCCCCAGACCCTTGTATCTGTTGTGTTGTTTAGAAACCTTTTGGTAATAGGCCAGGCACGGTGGCTCACGCCTGTAATCCCAGCACTTTGGGAGGCCGAGATGGGCGGATCACCTGAAGTCAGGAGTTCGCGACCAGCCTGGCCAACGTGGTGAAACCCCATCTCTACTTAAAAAAATACAAAAAATTAGCTGGGTGTGGTGGTACACACCTGTAATCCCAGCTACTCGGGAGGCTGAGGCAGAAGAATCATTTGAACCCGGGAGGTGGAGGTTGCAGTGAGCCGAGATTGCACCATTGCACTCCAGACTGGGGGACAAGAGCAAGACTTCGTCTCATAAAAAAAAGAAACCTTCTGGTAATATAAATCATCCTTCCTTCATTATTACCTCTCCACTTACTATCAGATTTGCCTATCATGAATTGAATCTTTTAATTTAAAAATAATAATTTCTTAGGCATGTCTTAATTTAATGGATGATTTTTTACAATTTCTGAATTGCGGTACAAAATAATCTACTTTGTTCTTTGAACACTGTAGATCTTTGGGTGAGCCTTTCTTTTATCTTCCAGTCAGAAAACTGCGTACTTAGGGACTCACTTGATCAAGAAGAACCCCTTATGTCTTGGTTATTGCTTAAAATTTCATATACCTTTTATTTTCTGCTGTGAAGGTTAATTTCCAGTTTTTCCCTGAAAGATGAGTGGGCTTCCAGCCTAACTTTCCTGTGGAAAAGACTTTCTGTTCTAAAAGTTCTGAAAACTTTCTAGTGATGGAAGATAAGAATGTTAGTTTAACATCTTCCTTAAAAGGAATCTTTGCGAAATATCTCACAAACAAGGCATGAAATATTTATGTTGTTTTTTAAAGGGGATTTAGGAGAGAGAAATATCTATCAGTGGAACAACTGTGGGTAGAGGTAAGATGTGTCACTATTCTAGGCCTTGGATGAGTTCAGATGCAGAGGTCATTTTTCCATTTCTATTTTGGTTTATCTATAAATGAATTGAAGTATGATCTAGTAGTCAGTATTGTGCAGTCTTAAAAATAAAAGCTGACTTGTGTTTTTTAATGTGCATATGTACTTTAAAATACATAAATGGGACCTCATACCTACTTTGTTGGTTGTTTTGGTTTGGTGTTTAGTACAGACCTGGTTTTTCTCTTATTTATGCTGTTTCCTTTTTCCTCCCCATTCCCTCTGTTTACATTGTCCTTTCCTGCCCCCACCTCTGTAATTCTTGATAACAGCCCAGGTTGCATTCTTCTTGCTGACAGTGATGAGTATGGGAAGGGATCATTATTGCACAAAATTGGGATCACATAATAGGTACTTTTCTATATTGTTTTTTCTCATTCAACAGTACCTTATGGAAATCCATCCTCTTCAACGGGTAAAACATCAAAATCACTATTGTTAATGTCTACTTACTCTTTTGTGGTATGTTACATAATTTATTTACTTATTTTTATTTTTTTGAGATGGAATTTCGCTCTTGTAGCCCAGGCTGGAGTGCAATGGCGTGATCTTGGCAACCTCTGCCTCCTGGGTCCAAGAGATTGTCCTGCTTCAGCCTCCTGAGTAGCTGGGATTACAGGTGCCCACCACCACACCCAGCTAATTTTGTATTTTTAGTAGAAACGGTGTTTCTCCCTCTTGGTCAGGCTGGTCTCAAACTCCTGATGTCACGTGATCTGCTGGTCTCGGCTTCCCAGAGTGCTGAGATTATGGGCGTGAGCCACCGTGCCTAGCCTACATAATTTTCCTATAGATGGACAACCACTTTTTTTTCCATTTTGTGTCACTGTGAGGAGTGATGTTTCTAGGCAGTAGAGTCCTGGGAATGGGTTTCCCAGTTCAGACTATAGGATGTTATTGAAAGACATAAAATAGATAGCATGTCCTGGAATGTGAAGACTTGCTATCACAAAAAATGTCAGTTCTCCCCAAATTAATTTATAAACCTAGTGTCATTCCAATTAGGATTCAAACAAAGTATTTTTGTTGGGGGTGGTGAGCAGGGGGGAGTTGTTTTGCTTTTTTCTTTTCTTTCATTTGGATGTCATAAAATATATACAGAAGACTAAATTCACAAGAAGAGCCAGAAAACAATTTTTCAGTAATCATAATGGGAAACTGGCATCACTAGATATTAGGCCATCTTATAAAGCTACTTATAATCCAAACAGCACAGTGATTCAATAAAAATAGCTGCATCAGTAGCAGAGGATAATTGACAAATGCATCCCAGAATAAAAGATAATTTAATATATTTAAACTCAGAGGGAAAAAATGGATTTTTAAAGAAATGGTACTGGACATAACTGAATATCCAGCTGGAAGAAAGGAAAACGTGCATCATATGCAAACATTTTTCCAAAGGATGAAACAACTGAAATTTTTAAATGATCACAGTGAACATTCCTCAAGAAAATAGGAGACTTTGTATAGTCTAAGGGAGACCACCTTAACCAAGAAGGACAATGCGGAGACAGTGAAAGAGCAGACACTTCTATATGGCCAAGAGAGCATGAACGAAGTCAGTAGAACTCAAGAGATATTGAAAAATGTTCAAAGGTTAGGAGGATGACATTCACAGAAGAACAAATCCTAACATCTAACAATCACGGAAAACTTTTAATACACTATTCAAAAAGTGTTAAATAGGCCGGGTGCAGTGGCTCACGCCTGTAATCCCAGCACTTTGGGAGGCCAAGTCCTTGGATCATCTGAGGTCAGGAGTTCGACACCAGCCTGGCCAACATGATGAAACCCTGTCTCTACAAAAAATACAAAAATTAGCCAGACATGGTGGCAGGTGCCTGTAATCCCAGCTACTGGGGAGGCTGAGGCAGGATAATTGCTTGAACCTGGGAGGCGTGGGAGGCAGAGGTTGCAGTGAGCCGAGATCGCGCCATTGCATTCCAGCCTGGGTGACAAGAGTGAAACTCCGTCTCAAAAAAAAAAAAGTGTTAAACAGCAATGAGATACTGCCATTTTACATATCAGGTTCCCAAAAAAGATGAAAATGCATAGCTAGTAAAGACATATATTATAGTGTTTTTAGAAATAAATACGAATAGGTTACCCAACACACATATTTTGACCTTAAAAAAGGATTGTTTGTTTTAGAAACAGAGTCTCACTCTTGTCACCCAGGGTGGAATGCTGTGACGCAATCATAGCTCACTGCAGACTCAAACCCCTGGGCTCAAGTGACCCTCCTGCCTCAGCCTCCCGAGTAGTTAGGACTACAGGCACTTGCCACCACACCTGGCTAATTTTTTCTATTTTTTGTATAGATGGAGTCTTGCTTTGTTGCCCAGGCAGTTACTAAACTCCTGGCCTCAAGAGATCTTCCCAGCCAGGCATGGTGGCTCACGCCTGTAATCACAGCATTTTGAGAGGCCGAGGCGGGTTGATCACTTGAGGTCAGGAGTTCAAGACCAGCCTGTCCAACATGGTAAAACCCTGCCTCTACTAAAAATACAAAAATTAGCTGGGCATGGTGGCACACGCCTGTAATCCCGGCTACTCGGGAGGCTGAGACAGGAGAATTGCTTGAACCTGGGAGGCTGAGGTTGCAGTAAGCTGAGATTGCACCACTGCACTCCAGCCTGGGCGACAGACTCGGTCCAAAAAAAAAAAAAAAAAAAAAAAGATCCTCTTGCTGTGGCCTCCCAATGTGCTGGGATTACAGGTGTGAGCCACCACGCCCAGCCCTGTTTGTTTTTTTGAGACAGGGTTTCATCCTGTTGCCCAGGCTGGAGTACAGTGGTGCAATCATGGCTCACTGTAACCTTGAATCCTGTGTTCAGGGGATCCTCTGGCCTCAGCCTCCTGAGTAGCTAGGAATACAGGCATGTACCATCATGCCTGGCTAATTTTTATTTGGTAGAGACAGTGTCTCACTATGTTTCCCAGGCTGGTCTTGAACTCTTGACTTCAAGTGATCCTCCCACCTTGGCCTTCCAAAGTACTAGGACTATAAGTGTGAGCCAACAAACAAATAAGGTTGTTTTTAAATGATAGAATACCCCGCATTTAAAAATATTTTGGGATACCAGTTTTCATGGAAGACCCTGTTTGTTTTCATTCCTGGCAAATGCTTATGGTTTGGATATGGAAAGCATGGGAAGGAAAAAGTGTAGTTTCCATAAATGCCAAAGTATCAGCTTGAAATCAGTTTGTGTTTATGATGTGCTATGTGGTCTTAAAAACGAGTATGTCCTACAATAAAGATTAGAAACAGCATATTAAAAGGGCATACACTGGGCCAGGCACAGTGGCTCACACCTGTAATCCCATGACTTTGGGAGGCTGAGGTGGGCAGATCACCTGAGGTCAGGAGTTCGAGACCAGCCTGGCCAACATGGAGAAACGCCGTCTCTACTGAAAATACAAAAAATTAGCCGGGCATGGTGGCAGGCACCTGTAATCCCAGCTACTCAAGAGGCTGAAACAAGAGAATCGCTTGAACCTGGGAAGTGGAGGTTGCAGTGAGCTGACATTATGCCGCTGCACTCCAGCCTGGGTGGCAAAGTGAGACTCTGTCTCAGATAGATAGATAGCTAGATTAGATAGATAGATAGATAGATAGATAGATAGATAGATAGATAGATAGACTGTCTCAGATAGATAGATCGATCGATCGATAGACTGTCTCAGATAGATAGATAGATATAAATAGATAGATAGATAAATTCATACATTGTACCTGAGAAAAGTGTCACAGAATGACCAATACTGAGACATACTTTAGTAAAATTGCTGGATTTTAAAGACAGGAAAGTCCTTTGAGCATCCAAGCAAAAAAGGTAAAGTCATTTATAAGGAAAAGAAAATAAGAATATCATCAGACTTTTCAACAGAATTTTTTGTGCCAAAGGAAAAAATAGCTTAAGATACTCAATGATCTAAGGAAATGTCAACCAAGGATTTTTATATCCAGCCAAACTGACTTCCAGATACAAAGACTGCACAGAAACTTAACAACTTAACAAGAATTCAGTGACTTTTCAGTCCTTCCTGAGAGATCTCCTGGAAAATGAATTTCAAATGACCAAAAACCACTCCCCGCCCCAAAAAAAACAAAACAGAGAAACACTGATATAAGGACTGGCAGTGAGCACTAAACATGTATTTATTTTTAGATTTAAATTCAAATGAGGGCTCTAGGGGAGAAAATATTTCATGTGTAACGTCTGTAAGACATGTCAGTATAAATACAATGCATCTGTTTTAAAAAATGAATGGACAGTGGGGGAGAACATATGCAAAATATTTAGCTGTTTTCAGTAATCATAAAAGTGATGAGTAATCCCAGCACTTTGGGAGGCTGAGGTAGGCGGATCACAAGGTCAGGAGACTGAGACCATCCTGGCCAACATGGTGAAACCTCGTCTCTACTAAAAATACATAAAAAAAAAAAAATTAGCTTGGTGTGGTGATGCAGCCTGTAATCCCAGCTATTTGGGAGGCTGAGGCAGGAGACTAGGTTGAACCCGGGAGGCGGAGATTGCAGTGAGCTGAGATCGCACCACTGCACTCCAGCCTGGCGACAGAGCGAGACTCCGTCTCAAAAGAAAAAAAAAAGTGATGAAAACATTAGTCTTGTTATTCTGAGGGCTGGTGTGTGTGTATGAGAGAGAGATGTGGAATGAAGTAAATGAATAACGATGTGATATTCTAATTTTACCACCTGTGATATCCTGGAGAAGCAGAATTCTCCTGGAATAAAGAAGACATAGATATAAGATAGAAGAAGGTCAGAGACATATATTTTTGAATTAGAAGTGCCAGTGTGAACTCAAAAGGTATTTTATATTTAAATACATGTAGGTATATGTAAGTGCATGTGCATATGTACATGTACACACACGTGCACATCAACACTAGGCTTCCTACGTCTGTTTGCTGAAAAGATCTAGAAATAATAACCAACCTAGTGGAATTGATCTTCCCTGGTTTCCAGATTGTCATCTTGATACAACATTTTCCACAAAAGAAGCCAGGGTTTTTGGAGAAAGACTGATTGTATGTCCAATGCAAGGATTTTAAAAGATGAGCCTGGTGGTGCATCCTGGAAACCTAACCAGATAGTAAGAAAACTGACACTACTTTATGTCGGAAGTATTGAGGAACCAATATGAAGAGGCTTCCAGTGGCCAAAGATGTGACAGTTAGAGCATCAGTGTGGATAATAACAGGAATGGATTGAAATGCATCGAATATGCTTGTCTCTCTGAGTCCATAATACTAAAAAATTAATTGGTCACCTTTGAAGGATAAATAGAAGCCCATATCATTGTTTTGAAAAATTGTAAATAGAAGATATGAGCATTTATCCTGCCTTTTCCATGTACTGTATCATGGGGGATCAAATAATAGACGGGGAGGTTTTTCCTTATAGAAGTATCCCAGCTAATGAATTAAGAAGGGTTGATTGAATTTTAATATCACCACTTCGTAACCTCAAATGAATGAACAGATCAAGACATTGAGTAGCAGTGCTGCTGACATCACAAAAGAAACACCCAGGCATTATTGCCTCCTGATGGGAGAATGCACTACCTTCTATGAAATTATCTTGCTAAATTAATGGAATCTGTATCTCATGTAGCCTCTACATCCAATTTACAGGAGATCAGAAGACAGAAGAACATGTTAAACTACATCATGTGGGTACAGTCAGCAAATTTCAGACGATGGGAAACTGCAGGTCAAACAACCCAGGTTCTTCAACAAATAAAATGCAAGGGAAAAAAAAAAGATGGAGGAGGATCCTGTAGATTAAGAGATTTAGAAGGCATCAAAACAGACTCGCCTGTTTAGGGATGTATATTTCATGGTAATACTAAAGAGAAAAGCAAGAAAGTGATGACCATAGAGGTGTGGTTTGTGATTATTGTTGCGGGGGGCCCCGGAGGGCTTCTTGGCCGTTTGCAAAGTTTTCTTTCTTGGCAAGAGTGTTAGATCCAGGAATGTGCCTTGTAATGATTCATTAAGCTACTTGTTTGTTTCACACAATTTTCTAGATTGATATATTTTACAACTCAAAGGTTAAAAAGTAGATGAAACATAGATCATTCTGCAGATTTTCATTGACCTCTCTCAAGATTGGCAAGTTGTTTGTTTCTTCATGATGTCAGCCAGATAAGTTTCATCACTGTCTCTCTCCTGCTTCTTATAATCCCCATATGTATTTGGGATATGTGGTGAAGAATTTTATCCACTCAACAAGTGTTATGGAACATCTACTATGTGCCAGATGCTATTCTAGGCACTAGGGATACAGCAGTGAACAACACAAAAAAAATCCCTGCCTTCATGGGGCTTATACTGTAGTGGGCGAGATGGGCACTAAGAAATTGGTTACATTAGAAAATGAAACATGCTATAGAGAAATATAATCGGGGAAGAAGGCAGGGGAGTGGTGAGGGGGTACCATTTAAAATAATGTAGGGGGCCTTACTCAAGGGGACATTTGAGTTGAAACCTAGGAGAAGGTGAGAACAGACTGCAGTCTCTGGAGAGAATGTTCCAGGCAGAAGAACAGGGCACTAAGGTGAGCACCCGCCAGACAGTAAAGGAACAGCTGGAATGCTTGGGTGGCTGGACTGAGGGGGAGTGGCAGGAATTGGGGTCAGAGAGGTAATGGGGCGAGAGTTCAAGAGACCTTTTAAGTCCTCCTTAGGACTTGGGCTTTTTCTTGGAGCGAGGTGGGAAACCGCTGGAGACTTGGAGGCGAGGATTGGGTGGCGTGACCGTACGTGTTACTGCAGTGCTCTGGCTGCCGTATTGAGGATGGACTGTGGAGGGGCCAGGTCTGAAGCGGGAAGCTGAGGTAGGAGGATGTTGCTGCAACACAGGAATGCTGATGGTGGTGTGTGGGAGTAATTGGGAAGTGTGCACATTTTGGATGTAATTTGAAGATAGTACCGATAGCATTGGCTGACAGGTCTTAAGTATGGCTTATGAGAGAAAGCAAGGCATCCAGGATGACTCGCAGGTTTTATGCCTCACTAGAATGATGGAGATGCCTTGATCAGAGATGAGGGTGACTCTGGGAGGGGAAGAAAGATGAAAGTGCTCAGCTATCTGAGTGGGATGTGGAGTAGATGGATAGTAGTTGATACAAAGGTCTAGAGTTCAAGAGAGAACTCTGGTCTGGAAAATAGGAGTTTTCATAATATGTGAAACCGTGAGGAACTCACCATGGCAGTGAGTGCCCAGGCCCAAGTGGCCCAAGCAGGGGGACCAGCAAAAGGTTCTAGATGCCTCCCCATCTTCTGAACCTCCCCCAGCTCAATTCCTTTTTCAGGCTGCTCTTCCATTTCCTTTTATGAAAGATACAGGCAAGTAAGTCTGAAGCCAGGCAGATAACTGTTCCTCAGATTTCAGTACAACTAATTTAGTATTATATTACAATTCAAAGACTGCTATTTCCATTATAATTATTATAAGAGAATGAACCAATTATATTTTTCTTGTTAAGCAAACTACATGGTATGTTAGTGTAATGTGAAAAATAGATAACTGAAAGTTTTCAAATCTTAATTCTTACTGACTTTTTGTTTCCAGAAAAGCTTTGACCTGGAAATACTACGCAAAAAAAATTCTTTACTACCTGCGGCAACAGAAGATCTTAAATAATCTTAAGGCCTTTCTTCAGCAGCCAGATGACTATGAGTCGTATCTTGAAGGTGGGTCTTTTCCCATATATGTGGACAGTAGTATTTCTGTAGGTAACTGATTAGTTTTTTAAGACCAGCAGAGGGAATTGTGTTCCTTGTGGTAAAGAAGTGAAAAAGCAAATCATGTTGCGTGGGCTTCTGCAGGTTGGATTATAGGGCCTGATCAATGAGGTAGTTCAAACTATTAAATTTAGAGCTAAGATTTTATCAAAGTCCACTAAAGAAATAGTGTTTTTTAAAGATGCATCATTGGCTTAAAATGTGAGAGTGATACTTTAGCTAATGAAGTAAATTCCTGTTTTTCCGAGCTTTAATGATCATTTCCAAATCAGAAGTAAATGTATCCAATTTTGTCTCCCTGTGACCTTGAGTAAATCCCTTAACCTCTCAGGTTGGAGTTTATTGAGGACAGAATGTTCTTGGGCATCAGTGAGTCTGCTTGTCCGTAATGAAAGGTGAGAAGGAAGAAGTTGAGTGGACAGGCAAGATGAAGGGAGTGGAGAATCTTTTTGTTCTTATTAAGTTGAACAGGAACAAAGTGAGACTTCCATTTTTTTTAAAATGATTTTGAATTCCTACAATATTACACAAACATTCCCATAAATTATGGTTATGAAATACAAATATGACTGGTCGTTTACTTTTATTCCCTACTTCTGATGTTTTACCAGATTGTTGATTTTTTTTTCCATTCCAGTGTATCTCATAGTCATGTTCCCATTCTGTTACTATTCCTTTTTTTAAAAAAAATGTATTTATTTTTAGAGACGGGGTCTTGCTATGTCACCTATGCTAGATTCAAACTCCCGTGCTCAAGTGCCACCACACCTGGCTGGCTTCTGTAACTAGTCTCATGCAGTCTATGGCCACCTCTCCTGGCAACAACTTTCTGAGTAATACTTGCTTTCATGAACATTACCCCCCCTTCCCTCCAAGTCAGCCAAAATACCAGTGCCAGCCCCATTAGAAATCTAGCCTTCACCACTGCATGTGAAACCTGCAATGTGGACAACTGATTTCCCTTTTATATTTAACCTCTACCTGCTTTTCAATGCCCTGCATAATCTGGTCCAGACCTTTGCTCCGTACTCTCCAGGATGTCCCATTTGCTCCAGCCAGGCCATTGTCTAGACTGGTGCCCCACAAATACACCTGGCTTCACTTCCTCATTCATGATATCCCTCCTTCTCATAATCCCTCTTGAAAATCCTACTCCCCCTCCATAATTCAGCTCAAGCCTCACTTCCATTAAATTTCCACTGACTACTTGGAGATTTTACTCACCTCAGAGCTACAGTAGCATTTAATAGTAAGCTGTCTTGCATTTTTTCTGTTTCCTGTGTATACATTTGTTTCTGTAACTAGTCCCTAAGCTTCCCGTGTTGTGGTCCTTGTGTTAGGATCACTGTATACCTCACAATGCTTAGTGTAAATGTTTATCAAGTGTATGAAAACCTAGTATCATCCAAAAGGAAATGAAACATCTGTTTCAGTTGATTAAAATAAATTCTCACTGCTAGAATCCCCTCATTTGTATACTGGAGTTGAGAAGCATCCTATCTTCTGTTTATTTCACAGTTAAGAATAGTATATTTTTTTGTAGCTTATGTATGAAAACAAATACTCCTTTTTCATTTTCTAAATACAAAGTTATAATTTTCAAAGAACTTCCACATCAGTGTCATAAGCATTGAGAAGCCATTGGAAGTTGTTTAGTAGTTGAGTGAATGACAGTTGGCTCTCCAAGTTTCTGATCCTTGGTGACTGACTGGAATAATGCTGATGCCATCGAAGAAGTCTGGGAATCATAGCATTAGGAAGGAACGGACTTCAGAAATGTGCAGCATAAACTGCTTCAGCTTCCAGGTAGGGAAGCTGGGGCCCTCGGAGGCCGAGGAGACAGTCCCTGGCTGGTGGCAACACTGGGACTGGGGTCGAGGTGTCTTGACACCCGTTCAACTGCTTTGAGCTCTGGAGCATTGGTAAGGGAGTCCAGGTTCTGAGCTGGTCTGAGATCTCTTTAATTTAAGGTGACTCGAGAGCTTCCCACATAACGGTGTCCTTACCCAAATGATGCTGTTAGCCCTTCAGTCTCTGCTTCCAAAATTACCTAAGACTGTGAAGAGGAGTGATTCTTAAGAGACTGTCTGCAGTGTGCTCTGCACAGCTTTTCAGCTGTAGGTTCCCCGAGCATAACTGTTTATCTCATTGGAAAGTGGGGTTAGCTCCAGAATCCATTTACTGTTCACCCTTGAGATGTGTAATTTGTTGAAATGGCACATCTGTCATGGAGGGCTTTCAAGTTGTTTTTTTTTGTTGTTTTGTTTTTTTAAAGGAACTGCCTTATACCATTAAGTTTTCAGAGTTGTTGGATTTGGAACCTATAACAGCTAGGGAGAGAGAAGTAGCTTGAAAAGATCTCCTTGATGTCATTTACTTCTCTTTGTAATAGAACATGAAACTGCGCCATATACCACGCAGTTTTTTAGTCCATGACTTCTGAGAGAAGTTTGATTTATGTATTTTTTTTTTTAAAGTTAAAGCTACTTTGTTATGAAAATGTTTGTTGCTCCTTCTCAGTGTGTTAGCAGCAAGGTCCATGGCCAAAACATGAAGCTTGTCCAGTGGGATGGTGTAAAGAGCCATGTCCCAGGATGTCCAGGGTAAAATTGCAAACTAATAAGAAAAGGGTAACGTGAGAATTTATTCGGTAATTCTTGTTCATTTTCAGGTGCTGTATATATTGACCAGTACTGCAATCCTCTCTCCGACATCAGCCTCAAAGACATCCAGGCCCAAATTGACAGCATCGTGGAGCTTGTTTGCAAAACCCTTCGGGGCATAAACAGTCGCCACCCCAGCTTGGCCTTCAAGGCAGGTGTGGCATTGCTTTGGATCCAGCTGTATTTATGAAAGAAAATCTAGAGGAATTGGTTAATTTGAGAGATTTGTTAGTGTGCTGCCATTATGTCATGAAAAAGTGATAAAATGACGTGACCACGTGTTTACCTGGTTGAAGTGTTGAACCTAAAACACTTCAAATACATACTGCCTTCTGCTTCCTAGATTGGCAACACTTGATTAATATTGTTAGGCCATTGCCAATGTCTTCATGTTGTGAGTTGTTTGGGGCACCTGTCACAACCTTTTTTGTGCTTGGGTCCCAGAGTAGATCTCTGTGTTTCAGGTGAATCATCCATGATAATGGAAATAGAACTCCAGAGCCAGGTGCTGGATGCCATGAACTATGTCCTTTACGACCAACTGAAGTTCAAGGGGAATCGAATGGATTACTATAATGCCCTCAACTTATATATGCATCAGGTAAATATAGGTACAGTAATATATGGGTATAGTAATATAGGTATAGTAACTTTTTTTTTCTGTTTTTAGAGACAGGGTCTCGCTCTGTTGCTCAGGCTGGAATGCAGTGGCGCGATCATAGCTTACCGCAACCTCAAACTCCTGGGCTCAGGCGATCTTGCCGCCGCACCCTCCTGAGTAGCTAGGACTACATGCCACCACACCCGGCTAATTTTTTATTTTTTGTAGAAATGAGGTCTTGCTATGTTGCCCAGCCTGGTCTCAAACTCCTGGCCTCAAGTGATCCTCCTGCCTTGGCCTCCCAAAGCGCTGGGATTATAGGTGTGAGCCACTGTGCCCATCCTATATGTATTTTTTTAAGCTTCTCTCTGATGGACCGTACATTCTTGAAGGTCAGTACTATGCCTTCCATCTCTGAGTGCTCGATGAAACTTATTTTTCCTTCTGCTGTAAGGATATTGTTGTGGAGTTTATCTGTTTCCTCATGGAGTATCCTCCATATGCAAACCCTTGAGATAAATTTTTGACTAAAAATAGATATTTCTCTGACTCTGTTTGGTCAGTTTGTATCTTGTGAACACTAAACTGTAAAACTAATCAGGGTCCTCTTTGCACTGGCCTCTAGCCATTTGGGAGAACCTGTGGCCCAGCTGTGTCAAGTTTGCATCTGTTATATTTATTTTTTATTTGCTTTCTGCCTAGTTCCATTTTCATATTTAGTTTGTTGCCCTGTCTGCTACTTTCATTTTATTTTGTTATATCGTACACACTTTTCCTTGGAACAGTCTTAAATACTTTCTGGAAGAAGGAGGGCCTAAATCAGGGCTTGACCAACTTTTCCTGTAACAGGCCAGGCAGTAAATTATTTCAGCTTTGGCCAGGCATGATGGCTTACATTGTAATCCCAGCAGTTTGGGAGGCCGAGGTGGGCGGATCACCTGAGGTCAGGAGTTCGAGACCAGCCTGGCCAACATGGCGAAACCCTGTTTCTACTAAAAATGCAAAAAAATTAGCCAGGCATGGTGGCGGTTGCCTGTAAACCCAGCTACTCGGGAGGCTGAGGCAAGAGAATTGCTTGTACCCGAAAGGTTGCAGTGAGCCAAGATTGCGCCATCGCACTCCAGTCTGGGCAACAGAGCGGGACTCCATCTCAAAAAAAAAAAAAAAATTATTTCAGCATTGAGGGCCATGTAGTCTCTGTTGTTAACCACCAAGTTCTGCCACTGTGGTGTAAAAGGAGGCACAGATAATATAAAAACAACTGAGCATGGCTGTGTCCAACAAAACTGTATATATGGACATTGAAATTTGAGTTTCATGTTACTTTCATATGTCTTTGAATAGTATTAACTATTTTTTCAAACATTAAAAAACATAAAACTTCTTCTTACACAGGCTGTACAAAAATAGCCGGTGGACTGGAATTGCCATGGACCATAGTTTACCCACCCCTGACCTAAATAAGTGAAATACTCACTTAAGCCTCACAAATGAGCATCATGCCCAATGCACAATAGGTGCCTAATGAGAATGTTTATTGAAAGAATGAGAACGTATAGTTCATCCCAGTGAAATAAAAGCATTTTTTCTGCTTTAGGTTTTGATTCGCAGAACAGGAATCCCAATCAGCATGTCTCTGCTCTATTTGACAATTGCTCGGCAGTTGGGAGTCCCACTGGAGCCTGTCAACTTCCCAAGTCACTTCTTATTAAGGTGGTGCCAAGGCGCAGAAGGGTGAGCATCCGTGACACATTATCTGTGGTCCTGAAGATTTGGTCCCTCTGTGCTGAGAGGCAGTCTGATTTTCATCATCAAGTTGGGTGTTACCACACAGGTTAAAAATAGGACTAGGGTGGTGATGGAACTGTTTTGTTTCCTGGCTGTATCAGTGTCAGTATTCTGGTTGTGTTATTATACTATAACAGTTAAGATGGTACCATCAGGGGAGACTGGGAAAAGGGTACTCTGGGTCTTTCTGTATTTCTTAAAACTGCATGTGTGAATCTACATTTATCTCAAAAAGTTTAATTTTAAAAAATAAGACTCTGATTTCAGGGTCCTCTGTGGTTCTCAGAGTCCCTTTGTTCCAAAGCAGATCAGATCAAAGAGTTCTTAAAAAAATTATTTCTTTTCATTCTTCCGTAAAATCTCCCCCTTTGTCCCACATGAGTGGGAGAGGAAGAGAGGAAGGGAGGGAAAGAAAGCAGGGGAGATTGAATAGGGTGGCCACGTTCCCCTTCAGGCAAGGTTGGTGACTGATGAGAATTTTAGAGACCTGGTTACTGAGTTCTGTTTTGTTCTTTTTTAAACCTAGTGCTCTGTAGGGCAAAAAGCTCATTTTCAGTTATAGTCTAGCTTTTCTGAAAGAAATAGTTCAACAGGTAGAAATATATTCTCATTAAATCTACAATTTAGGGGAAAAAGAAAAAAGTTATTTACCTATGTCCTGATCTTTGAAACTCTGTCTTAATGATTAACTCTGATACCCTTTAATGATGAATTGTGTGATAGAAAGTACCAGAGCTTTATAGTCAAACTAGGTTCAAACTTTGCCTTCCTCTGAGGAGGCCTGTTTCTTCCTTGGTAAAATGGATTAATGTTTTTTATAAAGCAGCTTGGAAGATTAAATGAGCTCACCCAGTATATTATATACCCAGGAGAGTTTCTGATGTGACATAGCAAAAAAGTACAATTGGTCTCTGTTCCTACCTCTTAGTTTAAGAAATAAAACATTACCTATTTAGTTGAAGCCTCCCAGGTACTCTTCCTCATCCCTTTCTCCTCTCCAGAGCTAACCACCAGTTTGAAAGTGTTTGTTATTTCTTTTTTTTTTTTTTTTTTTTTTTTGAGACAGGGTCTGGCTGTGCCACCCAGGCTGGGGTGCATTGGCGCAATCTTGGCTTACTGCATCCTCCATCTCCTGGACTCAAGCCATCCTCCCACCCCAGCCTCCCTAGTAGCTGGGACCACAGGCATGTACCACCACCACCTGGCTAATTTTTTTGTAGAGACGGGGTCTTGCCATGTTGCCCAGGCTAGTCTTGAACGCCTGAGTTCAAGTGATCCGCCTGCCTCAGCCTCCCAAGGTGCTGGGATTACAGGCGTGAGCCACCGCGCCTGGCTGTGTTTATTTCCATGCAAATGTTGATGGTTCATTACTTCTGTGTGTTGCCTTAAATACCCATACAGGCTTCCCTTGTGTTCCAGATATGTGTTTCTGAGGATGTACTGCATGGTTTAATTTTTGGATAGTGGGGACCCAATTTCCATTATTTTAAGTGGGAAAAATGATTTTTCATCCCATTCCCTCTCCCCAAATAACCCAACCAATCTCCCCAAGTATCTCCAAAATATTCTTAAATGCCTATGTAATAATCCACCAAAGATTTCTGTACACTATAAAACATTTAAGACACCAATTACCATGTCATTTGCCACGATAACTTACTACAGGGTAGGATTGTATGCAGTTAACATCATTTTTCCTTCGTGTGCTACAGCAGACATACACTATAATGCAAATGAACAATGAAATAATTTAATACCCCCTAGACATGTGACAGAAACAAGCACTGAGCCCCATAAGGGACTCAGCCCTCAGGGACAAGGCAGGAGCTGCTGGGCTATGGCCCTTTCTGTCCTTTTCTCTTCTCTCTGCCTTTGGCCACTTTTCTCTGTCCCTGTACCAAGACCATATTTTCTTAAGCACTGTAACTTTATAATTATCCCTGATATCTGGTAGGATGAAACTCCAGCTAGTTCTTCAAAATTGCCTTGGCTGTTTTTAGCTTTTGCTCTCCGTATAGATTTAGAATCAGTTTTGTCAGGTTCTTTGGAAACCCTATGTGTCTGTTGATTGGAGCCAGGGATTACTTTGAATTGGAGTTCTAGATTAATAGGGGGACATCGCCAATGTCTCACTATCAGTCTTTCTGTGAACATGGACCACTCTGTTTAGGTTGTCATTACTGGCCTTAAAAAGATGTTATCTTTTTCTTCATCAAGCTAACATCTTGTTAGATTTATTCTTTGGTACCTTCCTTTTTTTTTTTTTTTTTTCAGTTGTAAATGGTAATTTTTAAGATTACATTTTTTTAAGTATTAATGATATACAGAGATGTGGTTGCTATCTAGATACAGTTTGGATCTTCAGTGCCTTGGCTGAATAAATCGTTAGTGCTAATAATTTGTCCATTCCTGGCTTTTCTCTGTGGATAATCATAGTATCTGTGAATAGTGACAATTTGGTTTCTTCTTTTTTGTAACTATATATATTTGTTTCTTTCTCTTGCATTACTCTGCTGGTTAGATCTTTTTGTACAAAGTTAAATAAAAACAAAGATAGCAGGGACTCTTGCCTTGGGTATGATTTTAAATGGAATGCTTTTACAATTTCAAAGCCAGGCACGGTGACGCACGCCTGTAGTCCCAGCTGCTTGGAAGGCTGAGGTGGGAGGATTGATTGAGCCCAGTAGTTCAAGGCCAGCTTGGGCAACATAGCAAGACCCTGTCTCAGAAAAAGAAAACCAAAATTCACCAGCAGGCATGCTGTTGGGAGCAGTTAGGGATTATGAAAGCTACCATCTAAATTCCTACTTTGCTAAGTTTTATTAATAGCTAGGCATTTGATTTTTTTTTTTCAAAATTCTTTTTCTGTGTCTACTCATATGATAAGGTTTTTCTCTTTTAGTCCATATGTTTAGAAGTATATTTTTTTGTTGTAATAGAATTTCTTTTTTTAACTTTTAAGTTCAGGTGTACATGTGCAAGTTTGTTACATAGGTAAACTTGTGTTATGGGGGTTTGTTGTGCAGATTATTTCATGCAGGTATTAAGCCTAGTGCCCATAGTTATTTTTCCTTATCGTCTCCCACCGCCCACCCTCTGATAGGCCCCAGTGTGTATTGTTCCACTCTGGGTCCATGTGTTCTCATCACATAGTTCCCACTTATAAGTGAGAGCACGCAGTTTTTGGTTTTCTGTTCCTTTGTTAGTTTGCTAAGGATGATGGCTCTAGCTCCATCCATATCCCTGCAAAGGACATAATCTTGTTCTTTTTTGTGGCTACATAGTATTCCATAGTGTATATGTGTCATATTTTCTTTATCCAGTCTATCACTGATGGGCATTTAGGTTGATTCCAGGTCTTTGCTATTGTGAATAGTGCTGCAGTGAACATATGTGTGCATGTGACTTTATAATAGAATGACTTATATTCCTTTGGGTATATATGCAGTAATGGGATTGCTGGGTCAAATGGTTTAGCTGTCTTCAGGCCTTTGAGGAATCACCACACTCTCTTCCACAATGGTTGAACTAATTTACACTCCCACTAACAGTGTATAAGCATTCCTTTTTCTCCACAATCTCCTTAGCATCTGTTACAAAATAGATTTTTTCATGTTCAACTCTCCTTCGATTGTTGCAGCACATCTAACTTAATCACTTATTTGTAAAATACATTGCTGCATTTGATTTACTCATGTTTTATCCAGGATTTTTGCATTTATGATAGCTCATAAATGATCTTGGCCTAGAAATTTTTGTACATTTGTCCTTAGGAAGTTCTAGCCTCATAAAAAGAGTTTAAGAGTGCCTTGTTTCTAGAACATTTATGTAATTCTTATTTTTTTTTGTACTTTCCTCATAGGTTTATTTATTTTATTTTTTTTTATTTTTTTGAGATGGAGTCTCACTTTGTCACCCAGGCTGGAGGGCAGTGGTGCGATCTTGACTCACTGCAACCTCCGCTTCCTGGGTTCAAGTGATTCTCCTGCCTCAGCCTCCCGAGTAGCTGGGATTTCAGGCATGCACCACCACGCCCAGCTAATTTTTGTATTTTTAGTAAAGACAGGGTTTCACAATGTTGGCCAGGATGGTCTCGATCTCTTGACCTCGTGATCTGCCTGCCTTGGCCTCCCAAAGTGCTGAGATTACAGGCGTTAGCCACCGCACCCAGCTATATCCTTGCTAAGGGTAGGTTATAAATATGACTCAAGGAAGAAATTCGACTGGACTTTTTTAGCAACCAAAGAGAGGAATATGCTACGATTTGTAGTGGGCTTCAGATATAAGATGAAACAATAGCTCATAAGAAACACTAATATCCCTGAAACAGAGCCACCTGAATCCTCCATGAGGATTCCATGAGTCCTCACAGAGAATGGGCCTGGCAGTTCAGTGAGAGCTTGCATCATGTGACCACTGCTCAGCATTGTGCTCAGCGAGGGCCAGCCCCAGCATACTAGTGCAGTTCGAGTGCAGGTCACAGAAAGCAGAAGAGCTGCAAGAAGAGCTGTGTGATCAAGGCCAGGGGCACAGCTCTCTGTGCTCTAGCACAGGGTTCCCAGCCCAAGGCTGTGATGGGCTCAGCAGGTCTCTGACCACCTCAGCATGTCAGCAGAACTGATGGCCGAATCCTTCTGGTGTGAGGTGCTGTAACTTTTTTTTTTTTTTTTTGAGACAGAGTCTTTTTCTGTCGCCCAGGCTGGAGTGCAGTGCAGTAGCGTGATCTTGGCTAACTGCAAGCTCCGCCTCCCGGGTTCACACCATTCTTCTGCCTCAGCCTCCCGAGTAGCTGGGACTACAGGTGCGTGCTACCACACCTGGCCAATTTTTTTGTAGAGACCGGGTTTCACCGTGTTAGCCAGGATGTTAGTCACAATCTGCTCACCTTGTGATCCACCCGCCTCGGCCTCCCAAAGTGCTGGGATTACAGGTGTGAGCCACCACGCCCGGCTGAGGTTCTGTAACTTTCTTCAGATCATCCAGGGCCCAGGATCCACAGACGGTTACCTGCTGCTAATCTATGGAATTAACAGACTGCCTCAGGCATTCCATAAATCTTTATCTTAGCTGAACTTGTAGATACTCCTGGCAGTGAGTTTTAGTCTTCCTAAAGAACGCTATTAGATGACATACATTGGTGCTGTTTCTTAAATGTCAGTGTGCTGTGGTCTTAGCAGAGCTTGCACAAAGGGGTCAGATTTTAAACTTGGACAAGACCTTCATATTGTAAGTAGAAATGTTATGGTCTCAACCTTCAGCCCATGATTTGAGCTACTTACTGTGGAGACTTAAAATAATGAGTTGTTCAGCTCTCATCTGATATTTGGCTCTTTGGATAGGGCGACCCTGGACATCTTTGACTACATCTACATAGATGCTTTTGGGAAAGGCAAGCAGCTGACAGTGAAAGAATGCGAGTACTTGATCGGCCAGCACGTGACTGCAGCACTGTATGGGGTGGTCAATGTCAAGAAGGTGTTACAGAGAATGGTGGGAAACCTGTTAAGCCTGGGGAAGCGGTAAGGTTTTCTTGGTTTTCTAGTACTTCTGCAGAGCACATGTCTTTAGAGGCTTGAATTGTGTTTGAGATGTGCCAAGTGACTTTTCGTTGAGATCTTTGCAGTAGACCCTAAGAAGTTCTCTTTGCGAGTACTGGAAACATTCTTCAGTAACAAGAATATCTTAGACTAGGAAAGATATTTTTCAAGGGCAAGATCTTCTCATATCCAAATGCTTTGCCGTCTTTTAATTTATACCTTCCTATCATTAGATAAGAAAACAAAAATATGAAACTGTCTTGTTTCTAAGTCCAAGAAAATTTGTCATATAGGGAAAGTAGAAAGTTGTAGACTATATTATAGTAATAGTTTTATGTCTAATGACAGAATTCTTTTTTTTAATAGACTATTTTTTAGAGCAGTTTTAGACTAACTGCAAAATTGAGCAGAAAGTACAGAGAGTTCCCATATCCTCCCTGCCCTACACATGCACAGCCTCCCTCACTGTCAACATCCTCACCAGAGCAGTGCATTTGTTGCAGCCAGTGAACCTGCACTGACGCATCATTATCACTGAGGGTTCACTCTTGGTGTCATATATTCTGTGTGTTTGCACAAACACATAATGACATGTGTCCCCCTTTATAGTATCACACAGAGTAGTTTCACTGGCCAAAAATATCCTCTGTGCTCCGCCTACTCAGAATTCTTTTTTTTTTTTTTTTTTTGAGACATAGTTTCGCTCTTGTTGCCCAGACTGGAGTGCAATGGCGTGATCTCAGTTCACCACAACCTCTGTCTCCTGGATTCAAGCGATTCTCCTGCCTCAGCTTCCTGAGTAGCTGGGATTACAGGCATGCGCCACCACGCCCAGCTAATTTTTGTATTTTTAGTAGAGACGGGGTTTCTCAATGTTGGTCAGGCTGGTCTTGAACTCCCAACCTCAGGTGATCCGCCCGCCTTGGCCTCCCAAAGTGGTGGGATTACAGGCATGAGCCACTGCGCCCGGCCTTCAGAATTCATTTTTAATTATGTACAGTGTTATTGCAGTGACTGCTTAGTAAAAATGCTTCTGATTTTAATTTAGTACCCATCACCAAAGTAGGGCACAAGATTTATATTTATTGTGTATTTTTTTTTTCTTAAGAGCATTGTATCTCTTCGTTGAGCTGAGAAGAAATACCAGAATCAGAAAACGTTTGGGATTTGTGTCAATTATATTTAAAACCTGGGCCTTGAAAAAGAGAGTCTTTGCTGAAAAAACAAGCAGGATGAGACAAACATTGTTTTTCCTCTGCTAGGGAAGGCATCGACCAGTCATACCAGCTCCTGAGAGACTCGCTGGATCTCTATCTGGCAATGTACCCGGACCAGGTGCAGCTTCTCCTCCTCCAAGCCAGGCTTTACTTCCACCTGGGAATCTGGCCAGAGAAGGTAATTATTTTACTTTGATGCTTTGCACTTGCCTTAGAAAGGGAAGTCCTAGATTGAAGGGTGCCCGTGACAAGCTTATCTTTGTGTTAACATGGGGAATAAACACAAATTTATTCAGTCTCCCAATCATAACCCATTGGTAGATTTTTTTTTACTTCTCTTATTCTAAGGAAAATTGGTTCCACTGCCAGGAATTGCCTGTTCTCTTTGTGGTCAGCTCCTTAAACCCTAGAACCACAAAGCCTCTGTACCCGCTACTCAACCACTGGGGCCCTCAGATCGTTTTCCCCAAGTCACCCTCACTCAGCAAGGGAAAGCACAGCTGTAAATGGTCAACCTCCAGCTGTACTGTTAGCAACTACATTGGCCATGAATAAGTACTCCTGTTTTCACAGGAAAATTGGATCTTAGATATGTTCAAGTCCAGCCACTGGACTAGAGAAGGACTTTCTGAAAACCATTGAATTTTGACACTGTTTCACTTGAATTTTCTCAGTTTTTTAATGGCCCCCTTTGGGCAGCAGCATGCCCTTTCAGAAGGCTGCGGTGTTTACCTCCGTGAGCTGTGTGGCTGCAGCACATGGAGAGGCCCGTTGTGTATAATGGTGCAGGAGCCAGCTGCACATTCCCACCATGCCCTGGCCCTTCTCTGGAAATATGTGAATAGTCCTTTTTGTTTGTTTAGAGCAGAATTTAATTCTGAGGTCTCACAGGCCATCAACATAAACTCATCTCCCTGTGTCATTAGAGAGGGGTAAAATCTTCCTTGAAAAAGTAAATATTACAAGTGACTCTACATTGCTTAAATTTAAAGTCTCACTGATTCACAACTTCGGAGATCTAAAATAGTTCTAAGAAATGATGCATCAGTAGGAAAACCCCAAGGCTCCTGTTTTAAGAAAAGATGTCAGCCGGGCATGGTGGCTCATGCCTGTAATCCCAGCACTTTGGGAGGTTGAAGCAGGTGGATCACCTGAGATCAGGAGTTCAAGACCAGCCTGGCCAACATAGTGAAATCCCATCTCTACTAAAGTACAAAAATTAGCTGGGCGTGGTGGTGGGAACCTGTAATCCCAGCTACTCAGGAGGCTGAGGCAAGAGAATTGCTTGAACCCAGGAGGCGGAGGTTGCAGTGAGCTGATACCATGCCACTTCACTCTAGCCAGTGCAACAGAGCAAGACTCTGTCTCAAAAAAAAAAAAAAAAAAAAGAAAAGAAAAGATGTCATCTGTAGCCCACATAGAAAATGTCCTCCCAGAATATATGTGTAATGTGGTAGAGGAATTATTGGAAAAGAAAACTTTCCACCAAAGCTACCAACTACTTGTCCAAGATGTAATCATTTATTTTCATTTTATTTATGTATTTTAATTTTTTTTTTTTTTTAAATAGAAACTGAGTTTCACCATGTTGCCCAGGCTGGCCTTGGACTCCTGGGCTCAAGCCCATCTTGGCCTCCCAAAGTGCTGGGATTACAAGTGTGTGCCACCACACCCTGCCTATTTATTTATTTATTTGGGGTTTTTTTGGTTTGTTTTTTTGAAATGGAGTCTTGCTCTGTCGCCCAGGCTGGAGTGCAGCGGCACGATCTCAGCTTGCTGCAGCCTCTCCCTTCCAGGTTCAAGCAATTCCCCTGCCTTAGCCTACCGAGTAGCTGGGACTATAGCTACACCACCACGCCTGACTAATTTTTGTATTTGTTTTAGTAGAGACGGGGTTTCACCATGTTGGCCAGGCTGTTCTCGAACTCCTGACCTCAAGCAGTCTGCGTTCCTCGGCCTCCCAAAGTGCTGGGACTGCAGGCGTGAGACACCACACCCAGCCCCTGCCTATTTATTTTTGATACCAGGATATATATACACTTTTTACTTTAGACTTGTTAAGTTTTTATGAGATGCAGAGCAAAGCAAGTTTCTTTTCTTCTTTTTCTTTTTTCTTTTGTTTCTTTCTTTTTGAGACAGTCTCACTCTCTTGCCCAGGCTGGAGTGCAGTGGCGCAATCTTGGCTCACTGCCACCTCTGCCTCCCGGGTTCAAGTGATCCTCCTGCCTCAGCCTCCCAAGTGGCTGGGATTACAGACACGTGCCACCACGTCTGGTTAATTTTTATATTTTTAGTAGAAATGGGGTTTCACCCTGTTGGCCAGGCTGGTCTTGAACTCCTGACCTCAAGTGATCCACCTGCCTCGGCCTCCCAAAGTGCTGGGATTGCAGGCGTGAGCCACCGTGCCCGGCCTGCAAGTTTCTTTAAATGTAAATTTGATAGTTAAATTTTGAGTCATTGTCGAAGTGATGCTATTAACATCCCCTTTTAGGGGGAAATCTTGACATTTGCTGCTGGAGTCCATCTCTTGGGTGACCCCTCATTCAGAGATTAGGGGAGAAAAGTGGCTCATTGCCAGCGCATGTGTGACTGCCTACCCTTAATAAATGCATAATCCCGCTAGGGCCCCTGAGACAGCCAAGGAAAACTCTGGGACTCCCAGTGCGGAAGAAGCCAGGGGGTGCTGAAGAAATCGGACAAGGTTCCTCTCCAGAGGAAGGGTTTCAGGTGTGACCTTGAAAAATGAAAAACAACTTCAGAGGGCAGAAAAGTACGTGACTCCAGTCAGTGGGAACAGCCTGCACGTGGTCCAGGGGTGGGAGGGTGTGGCGCCTGCAGATGTCAGCCTAGCACGGATTTCTATGCTGATGAGTGTGCAGTTTGAGGTGTATTTTTACATATGTGTGTATAAAATTGTTACGGAGTGTGAGACCAGTTTGTGGAAGGCTTTGAGTTTATCAAGTGAAAGGGAGACATTCCTGAGCTGGGAAGGCCTGAAGGTTGTCTTGTTATTGATTGAATTAAATCAGGAAGAGCTAAGAAACATCAGCCGCCTTGGTCACTGTCACAGTAATGCAGGGTTATGACGGCTGTATGGACATAGAGAGGGCGGGATGGTGAGATTTTAAGTCGGGAGTACTGACTGAACGCCTCCTTCCATCTTCTTAGCAGCCCTATAGGGTAGATATTATTTTTCTTTTTGCCATATGGGAAATAATGAAACTGAGGCAGGGAGAAGTTAAATAACTTAGCCAGGTCTCCTGCACATGCCGTGACGGCACTAGGAGTTCAGTGCAGGCAAGCTGATGCCCTAGCCCACCCCATGCGGCATCCCGTGGTACAGTGGGCCAAGGCCAGAGCGCTTCTGAAGAAGCCAGCACACAGGCACCTTCTCCTTCCTGCTGCCAGACCTTCGTCCTCATCATGATCCATAGTTCTCCTTTCCCTCTTTCTCTTCCTTTCAGTGGAAAAGGTATCCCTCCAATTTTCCAAGGCAAACACCCCTCTCTTCTATTAGAAGAAAAACAAAAAGCACTCCCTGTCTGCCCTGCAGGAATTTCCCTGGGTTGCCACCTTTCCTCCTCCCCAAGAGCTGAAGCTCTTAGTCTGCCTCCCACTCACTCCCCAGGACATCAGGACCCGTTCCCATGCCTCCTCCATAGGCACTGTTCTTGCCAAGGAAGCCAGTGACCCTCTTTGGCTGAAACCATTCTCCTCGTTGATAAATGCAGTACATACTTTTTCTTTCTGTATCTTGCCCTGTCACTGCAGGCTACTCCCTTCTGGGAACACTCGGTTACTTTTGCTCTGTGGTCTCTGGTTCTCAGGCTCTTGCTATTTCCTCCCTTCAAGGCTGAAGGATGGTTTCTAGACGTCTTCTACCCTGCACCTGTGCCCTAGGACAGTTCCCCTCTTCTTGTGTCAGTTTCTGCCTGTCTGCTGTGGCTGCTGGAGCACTGGACCCCTGCCTGGACCCTGGGCTCAGACCAGCATATCCACACACCTGCTACACCCCTGCACGTGACTCTGTCTCCCAGACGGGTGAAAGTCGACCCGCTGAGACCAGCACTTCTGCAGCCCGAAGCAGTGCCCTGGCCTCCTGCTTGTCCTCCCTCTCTGGACTCTGAGCCCCTGTGAACCCGCTCTGTATGCAGGCCAGAGGAATCTTAACAAAATATCAATTAGGTCCCTTCACTGCTTAAACCCCTCAGGGTGGCTCCCCTGTTGCCTTGAAGACCAGACTTGCTCTCCTCCGTGTGGCTTTTAGGTTCTCGGCGGTCTGGCCCTGCTTGCCTGATGCTCCCCACCTCCCGTGGAGTTCCTTGGTCCTCTCCTGCACCCACTACTTTTTCTGTGTGCCTGCACTGTCTTGCTTCAGTCTTTTGCATGTGCTGCGTGTCTGCCCAGGGCCTCTGCTCATCCTCAACTCCATTTGCTGGCTCACTTCTGCCCAGCTGTCAGCTTAGACTTCTGCCTCCTCTGAAACCCCTTCCCTGGTTCCTGTGTGCGGCCAGGTCATGTTTTCCCGTCGTTCCTGTGCTTGCCCTTCCTAGAGCTTTGTCCAGTCTGTGGTAGCTGCTGCTCCGTCATCTGTCTCCATTAGAACATGTTCTTTAAGGACCAGGACCAGGTCTTGTTCCTAACTGTCGCCTTCCCCACGCTCTCAACACAATTCCTGGCCCATGATAGGAGCTCAAAAAATTGTTTAAATGAATAATTAAGAAATAACTGCCAGGTGCAGTGGCTCATGCCTGTAATCCCAGCACTTGGGGTGGCAGAGGCAGGTGGATCACTTGAGGCCAGGAGTTTGAGACCAACTTGAGCAACATGACAAAACCCGGTCTCTACCAAAATAAAATACAAAAAGTAGCTGCACGTGATCGCATGTGCCTGTAGTCCCAGCTACTTGCGAGGCTGAGGTGGGAGGATCTCCTGAGCCTGGGAGGTCAACGCCAAGGCTGCAGTGAGCCATGATCACATCACTGCACTCCAGCCTGGGTGACAGGGTGAGACCCTGTCTCAAAAAAAATGTGGCAGAACTTCATTAGATATGAATAAAGAAGACTCAAAGGATGTCCAGATTTTTCAACACGGGGGCAGTTTATGCCACTCTGAAAGTAGGTATTTGGAGAGCAGGCCTGTTTTGGTAGTAGGAGAGTGTTTTGTGTGGGGTATGATGCATTCATCCTGACCTGAAGCCATCGAGTGCAGATGCCCAGTAGCCTTTAGCAGGAGCTCCCAGCATCAGCATCTGGTAACTGAAGCCCCAGAAGTAGCGGATCCATAGACAATGGATCTCAAGAAAGCAGAGCCAAGAACTTCAGAGAGAACCTTAGAGGGAACCTGGAATTCAGGGACAGAGCAGGGGCCAGCAAACTATAGCTTGTGGGCCAGATTCACAAAGCCTGTTTTTGTGAATAAGTTGTGTTTGTTTACTTATTATCTATAGCTTTTTTCAAGCTACAGTGGCAGAGTTGAGTAGTTAAATCAGGGACTGTGTAGCCCCCAAAGCCTAGTGTCTCTTCTCTAGCCCTTTACAGAAAAAGTTTACCAACCCCTAGGCTAGAGGGAGAAGAGCAGTATAGGGAAATGCATCATGGGTAATAGACCCCAATCCAGGATCTCCACCCCAGAAGTGGTGATCTTGCGGCATTCTAGCCCTAGAGTATTTGGTGGGGACGGCATGGTGCCTGGGTCAACACTGTCTGCAAATACGCCAGGCCCCGAGGCACAATGTCTTCATTTCTGCCCTCTCCCTTCGCGCTCAGCCACACATCCAGCGAAGGTGGGGGTAATTATCCTTGACCTTATCTAGACTTCCTCTGTTCTCTGACGATGCCAAGTTCTGACCATTTTACTTATCTGATGGGGAGGTGGCTGCTAGGAGAGAAGGGGAGCTGTGTGTGTGGAACACAGTGGAGGGGCAGAAAAAGCGGCTTGTTGGTACTCTTTCAGGCCACAAGGACAGCCATTATGCAGGCACTGTCAGTAGGCGCTTCCTATTAAAGTAAAGGGTAAATCTGCGAGTGTCCCACAATTAAAAGCACCCGGCTGGAGGTAGAGGCACAGGGGGATTGGCTGTCTGTTGATTCTTGTCAAAACTGGGTTTGGGGTACTTGGGATTATACTGCTTTGTCCATTTTTATGTGTTTGGAACTTTTTGTAGTAGTTAATTTAAAATGCTCCTGCTCTTGCTAGGATATGACACTGGTTGAGACCAAGAGTTGATCTTCACACCCAGAGCCACAGCCTCACTCCACCTCTCCACAACCCTGTGACCCCGGGAAAGTCACTTCACTAAGCCTGAGTCCTGTTCGGGAAGTGGCAGTGATTAAAAGCTTTTTTTTTTTTTCCACCTAATCCTCCCAATTTGAAGATCAAGAAATTACTGACCTTCAAATGGGAAGGATTAAGTGAAACAAAAAACCTGATGGACTTGGCACAGTGACCAGCAGAGAATAGTGTTCAGTAAATGTTGAGGTCCAGCACGTCGCAGTCTGAAAGGCAAGATAATAACATGGTGCATAAAACTGGAGTTTTCACAATACTTTGACAGGCTCACAATGCATCAGCAAATAGGACAGTGATTACTCATGATTTGATAAGCTAAGAAAGGAATTCAGAGGTAAAAACGCCAGCTAGTCTGACCGATCTGGGCCTAGAGTCCAGGTTGCTGTAACGCACTAAGCAGGCTGTAATCCAGGACTCAGTAAATTGGAAGGAGAACCTTGTCAGAAATTCTATGCTAAGGGCTGTAAACGTAATGGGTGCGAAATAATTGTATGTCTGTGTCTTTTTAAACGTGGAGTTTTTTCCACAGAGGCACTGTGTGCAGTAGAGGCGGTAATAGTGGAGTCAGACAGGGCTGCTACTCTGTGCTACTAGTTTAACCTCTGCATAGATGTAGTTTCTCCTGCTGCCTGCTGAATACCAAATACCATGATGAGTTAAGACCACTGAAGTGACCAGCAGGATTTTAGAACTCTGATATACGTGGCTCCCTCCTTCTAGTGTAGCTTCATAAACTCAACGAATGCATCCCTTTGGTGCCCACTCTGTGACCTTTTCCATCTTTTCCAGCACTGAGGCAGTTGTGTCAGACATCCTCTTCGTCTCGATTAAAGCAATTTAGCATTTTTTTTTCCCCTCTGAATTCGTGAGTGGCAAGTGAAAATCATTCCTGTGTATTGAAAAAACGTGGATTCTCACATTTCCCATGCCGACCAAGCATGCTAGGTGCTGTTAGAGCCCACCTCATCCAGAGTGCCCTAGGTGGTGGGCCCTCACCTGCGTCCCCAGCGCTTATCCCAGCACACTGGTTTCCAAAGAACTCCTCAGGTTGACACTGGTTGAATTGGGGTATCCTGGGCCAGCTGCCAGTGTTACAGTAGAGCCCAACCCTGGGCATCTGCAGTGCCGATTTGGTGGCGGTCCATCAGAGGATGGTCCAGAGACCTGGACCGGTTCGATCAGGGCATAGCCACCCCTTTTGGTCCTTTGCTTTGTTAGGTTACGTAGGTAGGTCTAAATCCCTCGCCGCAAAAAAGAAAAGGCCTAGCTGAAAATATTATCTTTTAGTCTTTCTGTCTTGTTTTGAAGGTGCTTGACATCCTCCAGCACATCCAAACCCTAGACCCGGGGCAGCACGGGGCGGTGGGCTACCTGGTGCAGCACACTCTAGAGCACATTGAGCGCAAAAAGGAGGAGGTGGGCGTAGAGGTGAAGCTGCGCTCCGATGAGAAGCACAGAGATGTCTGCTACTCCATCGGGCTCATTATGAAGCATAAGAGGTGAGTGCCCGGGATCATCTGTCCTGCAGTGTCCGTTCCAGAGGGGCTGCAGAGACACACATGCACCTGGTGAGCCCCCAGGACACAGTGGAGGAGGAGCTGACTGGATCACTTATCCCCCGAGTGCGCACCGCGGGGAAGACAGAAAGCTGAACCTCTTTTTTTTTCTTTTTGAACCGTGTCTTTGACCTTTGTGTTTTTTAAGCAGCAGCTTACTTTCCTGAGAGATCTTCTAGTGTTTTTAGTGGCCTTTAGATGTTTGACCCTTCTCTGTGTGTGAGAACATGGAAGTAACTTTGTAAGACACGAGTTTTTTCTCTCATTTCCTCATTGTTCTTATATCTTGTCACTTAATCTCAGTCTCTTCAAATCCGATAGGCACTTGGTCTATTTACCAGGCAAAATTAAACTGTATCCAAAGTGATTGGAGCAGTTTACATCCCACCAGCAGGCTGGGAGCCTGGAGTTCCTATTCTCGCCTGGTGCTATTGCCAGACCTTTAAAAGTGTACTTACCTGAGAAAGGGCAAATAGTGTTTCACTGTGGTTTTAATTTCTGTTTCCTGGGTTACTAAACACGTTAAGGTTCTTTTCATATATTTACTGGCTATCCAAGTTCCAAATTTCCTTTTATTAAGCGCCTATTCAAACATTTCATTTTTCTTTTCTTTTTTTCTTTTTTTTTTTTTCTTTGGAGACAGTCTGGGTCTGTTGCCCAGGCTGGAGTGCAGTGTTGTATCTCAGCTCACCTGCAACCTCTGCCTCCCAGTTCAAGC